>NT_187569.1:0-132244 GCF_000001405.40 Homo sapiens | reverse complement strand
GATCACTTGAGGTCAGGAGTTTGCCACCAGCCTGACTAATATGGTGAAACCCCGTCTCTACGAAATACAAAAAAATTAGCTGGACATGGTCCTGCATGCCTGTAATCCGAGCTACTTGTGAAGCTGAGACAGGAGAATCACTTGTACCTGGGAGGTGGAGGTTGCAGTGAGCCAAGATCTCACCATTGCGCTCCAGCGTGGGCAACAAGAGTAAAACTCCACCTCAAAAAAAAGAAAGAAAGAAACAATCTCTATCTTTTGTGCTCATTGCTGATCAAATCCATGTAAATATGGCAAACCAGCCTAGCATCTGTGGCAGTTGACGCCGGTAACCCTGTCAGCTGCTGGATTGCTGCCTAGGGACTGCTTGGATGCTTGGCAGTTGGTAGCCCTGTAAATAGGAAATATCCATTAGGAGAGCCTGCAGCCACCAGTCACAGAGTGATTACACGCCCCCTGTAGGAGATGTGAAAAAGAAAAAGAGGAAATCAAATATTCTGCAATCTTACAACTAGTAATGATGTATTTATTTTCAGCTTTTTATATACGTTTTTCAAGCACTTCCCAAGTATTTATAGAGTACTTACTATGTTCCAGGCTGGTGGCTGAGCAGTGAACAAACCAACCTAGGTCCTTATATCTGGAAACCTTAAGTTTGTGAACTTAAACACCCATATATACAATTGAGATCATATCATAAATATAATTTTGTATTCTATTTTTCACATTCTATTTCATAAGCATTACCCTCTGCCAATACTTTTTTTTCAAATACCACACATAATGGCTGCATAATGTTCAACTGAGTGTACAGAAGACAATAGATTTATCTATTTCTGTGCTGCAAAAAGCATAATTATCTTCCATTTCCCCTTCTATGAATAACTAGCTATTTTCCAAATTCTCCCCATTATTTAAAAAAAACCACACACACAACAAACTCTGGAATGGGCACCCTTCTCTTTGTCATTTTTGTTATTTCCATAGGATAGATTCCTAGATTAATTGAAGTGTTTAAGGCTCTTTATGTACAGCTTAATTCATTTTCAACATTGTACTAAACACGCTTCCTCAAGCATAGCAGTGCGTAATTCTCCACAATCTCCCCAGCACTGATATTAATAATGTAAGGCATCTTCTTAATCATGTGTGACTTTGCATGGTGCTTTAGACTTCTAGACATTCTCCATCCTCGTTGATCGTCTCAAGTTCAGATATAAAATTTCTGCCTTGATTCTAACACAGTGTACAGGGCCTACACTATATTCTGGGTGACAAGATGGCTTGGCTTTCCTTTCCTTCTCCCCCTGCTCCTAAGCTGGTCTCCTCACCTTTATCAAGTGCTATTTTTTCAACCATGCTTTATTGTGTAGGGGCCAAAGGGAAAGTTCCTCTTTGCCCTCTGAAGGTTCACTGAAAGCCAACTCATAAAAGGCAGATTTTTGGAGAAAAGGCAAATAAATGGATTATTTATTTATTTATTATTTATTTTTGAGATGGAGTCTCGCTCTGTCACCCAGGCTGGAGTGCAGTGGCGCGATCTCGGCTCACTGCAACCTCCGCCTCCCGGGTTCAAGCGATTCTCCCGCCTCAGCCTCCGGAGTAGCTGGGACTACAGACGCCCGCCACCACGCCCGGCCTTTACCGCCAGTTTTCACACAGAAAAGCGGGGGGAACATCAGAGTCGTGTTTTTAGGTTTTGTGGCTGGCTTTGGGGGTCTGGCCTCTGGGACTCGCCTTGGGTAAAAGGGATTCACTCTGTGAGGAGCCTCGCGGGAGAAAAGAACTGAGACTGGAGGCCTGGGAAGGTCAGAGGGAAACTGCCTCCCAGGCCTTCATTTTGGGGCGTTGTGTTCTGAGCCCCGATAATTGTAACATCTTCATAAGCGACTTTCTGGTGGTTATGGTGAATCGGGACACACGATGTATGGTGACCGACGGGGGAGCCGGGAGCCCAGCGGGGTTAGGGTTCAGGTGAGGGTTTAGGGTCGGGGCGAGCGCGGCGCGGCCCGGATGCGCAGCGTCACCGCGCCAGACCCTCCGCTCAGCTGCCGTGGGCTCTCCCCCTCCCCGACCATAGACGGCGCAGGCCTCCAGTCATCCCAGAGCGGCCCCGGAAGAATCCGGGCGGAACCGCGGCTGGCTTCCGGTTCCCGGCGTTCTCGGAGGCGTACTGAGGCCCCGCAGGGGGCGGGGAAGCCTGCGTGTGCGCAGCTCGGCCCGGCCCGCCCTCTTCATCCTAGCCCGCCCCCTCCCCGGCTCTGGACCCGGTTCTGTGGGAGGGTCCGTTCCGGGCTCGGTGCGACTGCGCAGCTCCTCGGCGCTTCCTCGGTGGCTTCCCCGGGTCGAGCAAACAGGTGGGGCAGTGTCGGACCAGGAAGGAGCGCCAAGCGGGCAGGCAGGCGGGGAGGGCGCGGGGAGGGCGCGGGGAGGCGGCGGCCAGTCCAGGAGGAGCCTGTTCTGGGTGCCGCGGGAGCCACCGACGGGCTGCAGAGGCCGGGAGGAGGCGACCGCGGCGCGGCCCTAGAAGGCTGGACTGAGGACCACAGCTGGCTTCCGGCCTCTCCCCGGAGCCTGGGGCCTTCGGCAGCATCCCCGCGGCCTCCTTCTCACGTCCTCAGCCTTGGTGAGGCTGCACCCTCACGTGGCTCTTTGCCCCAGGTTGGCCAGGCAGGTAGAACGGCCCTGCACCCCATTTCCAGGGCCTTCAGCAGGTCTGGACCACGGGAACTGCCAGCTTTCACCCCTTAGCCGGGCGTCCCTGGATCCCCCCGGGCTCTGGCTCTGGCCGTTCTGGGATTTCAGGAGTCACTGAGCAGTAGGGCACGTCGGCCCGTGCTGCATAGTGACCTGCCTCCCGCGACCCAGGAGGCCACAGCAGCAATCAGCTTCTGCCTCCTGGCCATCCTTCCACACCCCTGGTTGAATGGGGCTGAGCCTGAGTTCTCCCCACTGAAGGTAAGTTCGGGGAGACTTCAGGCCAGGGCAGTCTCCTGTCTTCTCTTGGAAACCACAGCAGCCCATGCACACAGAATGGCAGCCACATTCCAGCTTCCAGGGCACCAGGTGAGTTAACCCTCCTTCCTGCCCACCTCTTCATCTTCATCCCCATCCCAGTCAGAAGCTACTCTCCTCTGGAGCCGTGAGCCCGGCAACTGGTAAGGCCAGCCAGGGGCTCATAGCAACCGTGAGGAAAGGGTTCTGAGAGGTAGACTCGCCCTCCTGCAGGGAGAGGGGCTCTGAGCTCAGCTGGGTCCCCGTGTAGCTGAAGTTGGCTGGTCCTCAGCGCTCTCAGCTGCCCCATCAGGGACCTGCTGATACACAGTTCATACTGACCACAGCAGGGCCCTGGGTAGTGGGGCCCCACCAGGTCAGGGCCCTTTTAGTGCAGGCTGCTGCCCCGTGGGCATGGCCTGGGCAGCGGCGATGTTTTGTTGCAGGAGATGCCGCTGACCTTCCAGGATGTGGCCGTGTACTTCTCTCAGGCGGAGGGGCGGCAGCTGGGCCCCCAGCAGCGGGCGCTCTACCGGGATGTGATGCTGGAGAACTATGGGAACGTGGCCTCTCTGGGTGAGGCTCTCTGCACTTGGCCTGGTTCGCAGTGGGGGCCTCTGAGGAGCTTGGGAGGCTGCTTTGGCTCTTTGGATCCCAAAGAAGAGGGTCCTGCCCCTTGTCCCCGGGTATCAGTCTGATCTCTACAGAAGGAACATTTCCCATGGGAAAAGCCTGCCTTGCTCCCCAGTTCTAGGGACTTCACTCCCTGTTGCCAGTGGCCCCACTGGTGTCCCTCCAGTGGCAGGAGAGCTGATGAGTGGATTCTCCTTCAGTACTTAGTCTCAGCCCACGGGCCCCCTGACCAACACACGTGCAGGCGTACACACGTGCACACAGGGCCCATCTCTCCACACCTGGCCTGGAAGGCCCAGTGGGCCATGCCAGCTCACCAGTGTCCTCATCCTCAACAGGATTCCCTGTCCCTAAGCCGGAGTTGATCTCCCAGCTGGAGCAGGGGAAGGAACTTTGGGTCCTGAATCTTCTGGGAGCTGAGGAACCAGATATCTTGAAAAGCTGCCAGAAAGGTGAGAATGGATGGGATGCTAATCCTGGGAGCAGCCTCCCAATCCTGCCTTAAGAGGCTCCAAGCGAGGGACAGCTGGGGCATGGCGTTCATATTAATGGCCTCCCCCAGGGGCAGTCTCACAGATACAGCCCCTCTACAAATGTGAGCATGTGCACATGCTTTAGAAGTTTTATCTTGCTGGTCTGTTTCTTTGCTTTAAAAATATATATATACTACTTCTGATCATATTTTTGTTTTGGTGATTTACCTTGATAACAACTTCATTCCCTTCTTTATAATACACTTATTTCCTTTTGACAATAGATATCGGTACCCTACCATGTCCTTTTTATTCTTCACTCCATTCTCTCCTTCATTTGCCAAGTTTAGTCAGTAGTAGTCTTTTTTTTTTTTTTTTTTTTTTTTTCGAGACAGAATCTCACTCTGTCACCAGGCTGGAGTGCAGTGGCACGATCTCGGCTCACTGCAACCTCCACGTACCAGGCTCAGGCAATCCTCCCACCTCAGCTTTCCAAGTAGCTAGGACTACAGGCACATGTCACCATACCTGGCTAGTTTTTTTTTTATTTTTGTTGAGACAAGGTTTCACCACGTTGCCCAAACTGGTCTTAAATTCTTGAGATCAAGTGATCCATGTCGACCTCCCAAAGTGCTGAGATTACAAGCATGAGCCACTGCACCTGACCAGTGGCTTTTTTTAATGTTTACCTTTGTTCTATTGAATATACATCTACTACTTGATATGTCAGCTGTAAGTATTATCTTTGACTGCCAGCTACTGAGACAGTCAACAAGCTTGTTCTACTTTTCTCCCTTTTCCTCCTCATTCCTTTCCCAGTTTTTGTTGGTTATATTGTTTCTACACTGTCAGAACATATAACACTTTACAACTCATATCCGCAGCTTTGTTACTGGCTTATATCTCCAGTTAAGTATGTTATTAATAATTGTTTATCTCTGGTCCTTTTACCAAAAATTTCCCCATCTCTTGGTTGGCTGGAGCTTGTCTTCTAGTTTATTCAGAAAGGCTCGTGAAAAATATACCCCATATTTGTGCACATTCAAAATTGGTTGAATAAAGCATTTGGTTTCTACATGTAAGAGCTAAGATTGTAAAATTATATCGTTTTCTCAAAGTGCAGCTTAAGTTGCATCTCACAAAATTTTAATATGTTGTATTTTCATTAACATTTAGTTCAAAATGTTATCTAGTTTTTCTTGTGACTTCTTCTTTGACCCAATGATTATTTGGACATGCATTAATTTCCAGATAGTTGGTGTTTTCCTAGTTATCTTATTGTTATTGTCATTTAATTCCACTGTGGTCAGAGAACATACTCTGTATTATTTCATTCCTTTCATATTTGTTGCTTCTTGTTTTATGACCCCAAATGTGGTCTCTCCCAGTACAAATACCACGTGCACTGAAAAAGAATGTGTATTCTGCCATTTGGGGGTTAGATAAATATCAGTTAAGTCAAGGTGGTTGATGGTATTGTTCAGGTCTTCTGTATCCTTGCTGATTTTTTTTTTTTTTTTTTTTTTGGTCTAGTTATTCTTTCAGTTGCTGAGAGAGGGGTGTTAAAATACAGAAGTATGATTGTGGAATTGTCTTTTCTTCACTTTAATTTTTGTAGTGTTGGCTTCATGTATCTTGAAGCTGTATTATAAGACTTACTTCACTTATGACTATCATTATGAGAGATAAGAGAATTCCTGTTTGTCTCTGGTAATACATTTTGTTTTGAAATATATTTTATCTAATATTAATGTAGCAATTCCATCCTTCTTATACTTACTGTTAGCATAGTATATCTTCTTTCATCCATTTAATTTCAACCTGTCTTTACACTTAAAGTGAATCTCTTGCAGATATCATACAATTGGGTCTTGTTTCTTCATCCTAACAATCTTTGTCTTTTAATTGTAGTGTTTAGTCTGTTAATGTTTAATGTAATTGTTTATATGGTTCAGGAATGCACTTGTGCATAATATTTTATTTTTTACTTACATTTACCTCTTCTGTTTTTTAAATTCCTCTTTCCGGCCTTTATTTGGGTTATTTGAATACTTTTTATAACTCCATTTAAATTTTATTATTTGCTTTTTACATAATCTTTTTGCATTATTTTTTACAGTGATTTTCCTAAGGTTTACAGTATACATAAGTTTCCACAGTTTACTTACAGTTCATTTGTGTACTACTTCACATAAATCCAGAAATCTTGTAACCATCCCTCCCATCCTTTTTGTTATAGTTGTTATGTGTAATACATCTACATAACATTTTAAACTCAGAAAGACAATGTGATAATTTCAGTTTTAAACAGTTATATAGTTTATAAAAAAGGAAAAGGAAAAAGGCCAAATAAATAGTATTTTAGCTGTTTCTGACATGTAAGGACTTTAGAAGTCATCACTGTGTCCTAACAAGTAAAAAGCTGAACAAACTGAAAAATCAACAAATCTTAGCTCCATCAGAGAGGTGTGAGGTCAGAGGACAAATCACTGCTCTCAAAATTGGAGAGGTATGGCCGGGTGCGGTGGCTCACACCTGTAATCCCAGCACTTTGGGAGGCCGAGGCAGGTGGATCAGTTGAGGCCAGGAGTTCAAGACCAGCCTGGCCAACATGGTGAAACCCTGTCTCTATTAAAAACACAAAATTAGCTGGGCGTGGTGGTGGGTTCCTGTAATCCCAGCTACTCGGGAGGCTGAGGCAGGAGAATCGCTGAAACTCAGGAGGTAAAGGTTGCAGTGAGCCAAGATTGCACTACTGCACTCCAGCCTGAGTGACAGAGCGAGACTCTAAAAAAAAAAAAAGAAAAAAAAAAAACTCTGGAGAGATAAACAGGCAGATACAAAGAATCACAACCACATCTTGTGAGCAATAATCTCCCAGGGAACCGGTGGCCAGATGGGTAAGCCTAAAATGTAACTGGCAAATTGCTAGAGGCTCAGTGTGGACAACTCTGAAAAAAAACTCCAGGGGGACCCGGTCATGGGAGGACCCCATACTTTTGTGAGCTTTACCTCCAGGAGCTCTATTAGGTACTGACAGTGAATATCAGAGAAAAATCTCCTTGTGCTTCTGGCAGGAGGAAGTGAAAAGGGACCACTTTGGAATATACCATTCTGTTCTTAACAAGACCTGCCCTCAGGAGAAACAATTTTACCAGGGCCTAACCTGCTGGTGTTTTTATCAGAACTTAACCTTCCTGGGGGAAGGGAAATACCTAACACTAGCTACTTCTGGATATTCTGTCCCACCTAATGGCAGGTGGGGGAAGCTGAAAAGCACTTGGGAAGTTCATAGTCCAGGGACACAAGCTCAGCAAGACTGAGCCCTGCTCATAGTATCATAGAACACTTTCCCACCCCAACACCTGAAAACAGGATGAAAGCCCTGTTTACTGCAATTCCTTTTACCCAGTGTATCATGTCTACCTATCAACAGAAAATTACAAAGCATACTTAAAAGGCAGAAAATGCAGTTTGAAGAGACTGAACAAGCATTAGAACCAGAGTCAGTCGTGGCAGGAGTGTTGGAGTAATCAGACCAGGTATTTTTTTAAAACTATGATTAACGTGCTGAGGGCTTTAAGGGAAAAAGTAGACAGTATGCAAAAACAGATTGATAATGTAAGCAAAAGAGATTAAAATTTTAAGAAGCTGGATGTGGTGGCACATACCTGTATTTGCAACTCCTCATAGTGTAGCAGGATTGCTTGAGCCCAGGAGTTCAAGGCCAGCCTAGGCAGCATAGCGAGATCATCTTTCTTAAAAAAAAAAAAAAAAGAAAAAAAAGAAAAGAAAAAGAAATTTTAAGAATTTTTTAAATACTAGAGACCAAAAACACCATAACCGAAAGGAACAGTGCCTTTGACAGGCTCGTTAGTGGATGGTACACGGCCTCCAAGAGATTGTTATTTGAAAGTGGACTTGTATTAGCTGTAAATGCAGATTGCAAACCAATTTAAAAAGTTAAAAAAGAAGTATAGTTGATATGCTAAAAAAGGATACAAAATGGAATTACATATAATAGAATGCTCAGGTAAACCCACAAAAGGTAGAAGAGTATGGAAAACAGAAATAGGAATGAAGAACAAGGGCAAAAAGTAGAAAATGGTAACAAATGTGGTAGATGTTAATTCAGCAACATCAGTAATCACCTTTTTAAATTTTTTTTTTATTTTTTTGAGACAGTCTCACTCTGTCCCCCAGGGTGGAGTGCAGTGGCACAGTCCCAGTCTATTGAAAGCTTTGACCTCCCAGGCTCGAGTGATCCTCCCACCACAGCCTCCCAAGTAGCTGGGACTACAGGCATGTACTACCACACCTGGCTGATTTTTGTGTTTTGTACAGACAGGGTTTCACCATATTGTCCAGGCTGGTCTTGACCTCCTGGTCTCAAGACATCCACCCACCTTGGCCTCCCAAAGTGCTGGGATTACAGGAATGAGCCACTGTACCCAGCCAATAATCCCCTTTTTAAAAAGTTATTTATTTATATTTTTAGAGATGGGGTCTCACTCTATTGCTCAGACTAGAGTGCAGTAGCTTGATCATGACTCATGGCAGCCTTGACCCCCTGGGCTCAAGCGATCCTCCCACATCAGCATCCCGGGCAGCTGGGACTACAGGTGCATGTCACCACATCCAGCTCTTTTTTTATTTTTGTAGAGATCAGGTCTCACTATTTTGCCCAGGTTGGTCTCAAACTCTTGAGCCTCAAGCAGTCCTCCTGCTTTGGCCTCCTAAAGCACTGGTATTACAGGCCACAGTGCCTGGCCCCAACTGTGTTTTCTATAAGGAACCTGCTTCGGCCAGGAGTGATGGCTCCTGTAATTCCAGCACTTTGGGAGGCCGAGGTGGGAGGATCCCTTGAGCCTGGGAGTTTGAGACCAGCCTAAACAACATAGTGAGAAATCATCTCATCAAAAAGTTAAAAAAATTAGCTTGGTGTGGTGTTGTGTACCTATAAGTCTCAGCTACTCAAGAGGCTGATGTGGTAGGATCGCTTGAGCCCAGGAAGTTGAGGTTGTAGTGAGCTGTGATTGCACCACTGCTCTGCAGCCTGGGCAACAGAGCAAGACCCCATTGCAAAGAAAAAAGAAACCTGCTGTCTCATGACAAGATCTTGCCATGAACAAAAAAAAAGAAAAGAAGCCCACTTTAAACATAAAAACACAAAAGGGATGGAGAAAGATAGTAATCCAAAGAAAGCGGAAATATCTTACTACTTTAGACACAAAACATAACAGATCTTGAGGTGTATGGGCCTAACAACAGCATCAAAATATGTGAGGTTGGCCAGGCACAGTGGCTAACACCTGTAATCCCAGCACTGGGAGGCCGAGGCGGGCAGATAACTTGAGGTCAGGAGTTCAAGACTAGCCTGGCCAACATGATGAAACCCCATCTCTACTAAAAACACAAAAATTAGCCAGGCATGGTGGAGTGCACCTGTAATCCCCCCTACTCAAGAGACTAAGACAGGAGAATCACTTGAACCTGGGAGATGGAGGTTGCAGTGAGCCAAGATTGCACCATTGCACTGCAGCCTGGGCGACAGAGTGAGACTCCATCTCAAAAAAAAAAAGTGAGGTTGTCAAGTGTGGTAGTCATGCCTGTAATCCCAGCACTCTGGAAGGCCAGGAAGGGCAGATCGCTTGAGCCCAGGACATTGAAGCTGCGGTGAGCTATGATCACGTCACTGCGCTCCAGGCTGGGCAACTGAGTGAGACACTATCTCTAAAAACCACAAAACCAGCTGGACACGGTGGCTCACGCCTGTAATCCCAGCACTTTGGGAGGCCGAGGCGGGTGGATCACCTGAGGTCAGGAGTTCGAGACCAGCCTGACCAACATGGAGAAACCCCATCTCTACTAAAAATACAAAATTAGCCGGGCGTGGTGGCTCATGCCTGTAATCTCAGCTACTCGGGAGGCTGAGGCAGGAGAATTGCTTGAACCCAGGAGGCAGAGGTTGCAGTCAGCCGAGATTCGCGCCATCGCACTCCAGCCTGGGCAACAGAGCGAGACTCCGTCTCAAAAAACAACAACAACAAAATATGTGATGCGAAAACTGATAGAACTACAAGGGGAAATAGATGAGTTCACTGTCTGCAGTTGGAGATCCAGCACCCTCTATCGTAAATGGACAGATCCAGCAGGATGCAGTTGAGTTTAACAGCACCATCACATCAGTCAGCTGGGAATAATTTACATCTGTAGACTGCTTCATCCAACGATAGCAGAATGCACATTCCTGCCAAGCTCATGTGGAACATTCACTAAGATAGACCACATTCTGGGCCACAAAACACTTTAACATACTTGAAGAATAGAAAACATAGAATGTCTATTCTCAGACCACAATGACATGAAACTAGAAATGAAACCAGAAAGATAGCTAGAAAATCCTAAAGTACTTGGCAAATAACACACTTCCAAATAACACGAGTCAAAGAAGATATCTCAAGATAAATTTTAGAATATTTTGAATTAAGTGAAAATGAAAATAAAACTTACCAAAATTTGTGGAATGCTGTGAATGCAGTGCTTAGAGGGAAATTTATAGCATTGACTGCATGTATTAGAAAATGGGAAAGATCTAAAATCATAATGTAAGCTTTCACTCTAGGAAACTAGAAAAAGAAGAGCAAATTAAATACAAAGTAAGCAGAAGAAAAGAAATAAAAATTCAAGCAGAAATCAATGAAATGGAAAACAGGAAATCAATAGAGAAAATCAACGAAACCAGAAGATGGTTTGAAAAAACAATAAAATCAGTAAACCTTTAGCCAGACTAAGACAAAGAAGAGAGAGGACACAAAATACTAATATCAAATGAAAGAGGGAACATCACTACAGAGATGTCCCACAGACTTTTAAAGGGTAATAAAAAAAAAAAGATGAACAACTCTGTGCCCAAATTTGATAAATGAACCAATTCCTTGAAGTACACAATCTCCCAAACACGGGAAGAAATAGACAATCTGAATAGGGCTATGTCTGTTAAATAAGTCAAATCAACAATTACCTTCCAAAATAGAATCCACTGGGCTCAGATGGGTTCACTTATGACTTCTACCAAACATTTAAGGAAGAAATTATACCAGTTCTCTATAATCTCTTCCAGAAAATAAAAACAGAGGGAATACTTCCTAACTCATATGAGGTCAGTGTTATCCACCCAAATGCCAAAACCAAACAGACATTACAAGAAAAGGAAACTACAGACAGACACCTCTTATGAACATAAATGCAAAAATCCCAACAAAATATTAGCAAATCAAATCCAACAATGTATAAAAAGAATTATATACCATGACCAAGTGGGATTTGTCCCAGGTTTACAAGGCTGGTCCAACATTAGGAAATAAATTAATGTAATGTGATGTACCACATCAACAGGCTGAAGAAAGATCATGTGGTCATATCAGTAGATGCGGAGAAAGCATTTGACAAAATCCAACCTCGATTCATGATTACAAATTCAACAAACTAGGAATAGAGAGGAACTTCCTCAAGTTGATAGAGAGCATCTACAGAAAATCTACATTTTCCTTTATACTGGCAACGAAGAAGTGGAATTTGAAGTTAAAAACACATTATTTACATTAGCACCACTAAAGATAAAATACTGAGGTGTAAGTCTAACAAAATATGTACAAAATCTGTGAGGAAAAATACAAGACTGATAAAAATATATCAAAGAAGAGCTAAATAAATGAAGAGATAGTCTGTTCATGAGGAAAACTCAGTATTATCATGATGTCAGTCCTCTGCTTGATTTACAGATTCAACACAATCTCAATCACAGTCTCAGGGGCTAAGTGTGGTGGTTTATGCCTATAATCCAGCACTTTGGGAGGCTAAGGCAGGAGGATCGCTTAAGCCCAGGAGTTTAAGACCAGCCTAGGCAACATAGTGAGACCCCATATCTACAAAAAAATTTTTTTTGTTAGCTAGGCCTGGTGGCATGTGCCTATATTCCCAGCTATTTGGGAGGCTGAGGTGGGAGGACTGCTTGAGCCTAGGAGTCTGAGGTTTCAGTAAGTTATGATCATGCCACTGTATTCCAGCCTGGCTGACAGAGCAAGACCCTGTCTCTAAAAAACGAAAAAAACTCAGCAGGTTATTCTGTGGATATTAGCAAACTGATTGTAATGTTTATAAGGAGAGGTAAAAGACCCAGAATAGTCAACTCAATATTGAAAGAGAAGAGCAAGGTTGGAGGACCCATAGTACCCAATTTCAGTACTTTTACTATAAAGCCACAGTAATCAAGGCAGTGTGGTATTGGTCAAAAAACAGAAAAAATAGATCAATGAAACAGAACAGAGAGCCCAGATAAAAACCTGCATAAACATATGCAACTGATCTTTGACAAGGGAACAAACACACCTCAATGTAGAAAGGATGATCTTTTCAAGAAATGGTGCTGGAATAACTGAACATCCACGTGCCAAAAAAAAAAAAAAAAAAAGAATCTAGACACCCATCACAAAAAATTAACTTAAAATGTGTCTTATTCTGCTCAGACTTAAAACCACAAGCTGAGTGCTTAAAACAGTAACTTTCCTCCGCTCCCCTTCCCCTCCCGCTCCCCGTCCCCCTCCATATGGAGTCTCGTTCTGGTCACCCAGGCTGGGGTGCTGTAGCACAATCTCTGCTCACTGCAACCTCCACCTCCTGGGTTCAAGTGATTCTCCTGCCTCAGCCTCCCTAGTAGCTGGGATTACAGGCGCCCGCCACCACGCCCAGCTGGTTTTTGTACTTTTAGTAGAGATGGGGTTTTGCCATGTTGGCCATGCTGGTCTCGAACTGCTGACCTCAGGTGATCCGCCCGCCTCGGCTTCCCAAAGTGCTGGGATTACAGACATGAGCCACTGCGCCCGGCCTTATTTTCTTACAGTTCTGGAGGCTACACGTCCGAGATCAGTGTGTTAGCATGGTTAGTTTCTGGTGAGGGGTCTCTTTCTAGGTTACAGATGACTGCCTTCTCACTGTGTCCTCACATGGTGGAGAGAGAAAGTGCAAGTTCTCTGGTATCTCTTCTTATAAGAGCACTAATTCTGCCATGACGACCCTCATGACCTCATCTAACTCGAATGACCTCTCAAAGACCCCATCTCCAAACGTCATCACATTGAGGCTTCAACATGTGAATTTGGGGTGAGCAGGACACATTTCATTCCATGGCAAAATGGATCATACATCTAAATGTAAACCACAAAACTGTGAAACTTCTAGATGATAATATAGGAAAAAAAGAGGTGACCTTGGTTTGACAATGAGTTTTTAGGTACAACACCAAAGGCACAATCCATGGAAGAAACAATTGACAAGCTGGACTTCATTAAAATGAAAAACTTCTGCTCTGTAAAAGACGGCATCAACTTTGGGAGGCCGAGGCAGGCAGATCACCCGAGGTCAGGAGTTCGAGACCAGCCTGGCCAACATGGTGAAACCCCATCTCTACTAAAAATACAAAAACCAGCTGGGTGTGTGGTGGCACCTGTAATTCCAGCTACTCCAGAGGCTGAGGCAGGAGAATCGCCTGAACCCGGGAGGCAGAGGTTGCAGTGAGCCGAGACTGAGCCACTGCACTCCAGCCTGGGTGACAGAGTGAGACTCCATCTCCAAAAAAAAAAAAAAAAAAAAAGACAACGAGAGAATGAGAAACAGTCCATAGATTGGGAGAAGATATTTGTAAAAGGCACATATAAATGACCATTATCCAAAATACACAAAAAACTCAGTAAGAAAATGAACAGCCCATTTTAAAAAATGGGCGAAAGGCCTGAATAGGCTCCGAATGGAAGGAGATACCCAGATGACAGGTGGGCATTGTGAGAAGATCAATGTCATATCTCTAAGGAACTGCACATTAAAACAGTGAGATTCCACTGCACACCTATTAGAATGGCCAAAATCCACACCACTGATAACCCCCAGTGCTGGCCAAGATGTGGAACAGGAACTCTGATTCATTGCAGGTGGGGATGCAAAACGGTGGTCACTCTGGAAGACAGTTCGACAGTCTTACAAAACTAAACATACCTTTACCATGTGATCCAGCAGTTTTGTCCCTTTGTATTTACCCAAATGAATTGAAAATTTATGTCCACACAAAATCCTGCACACAGATATTTACGGCAGCCTTATTCATAATTACCAAACCTTATTCATAATTTCATAATTACCAAAAGTCGGAAGCAACTGAGACGTTCCTCAGTAGATAAGCGGGTAAATAAACCAGTGGCACATCCAGAGAATGGGATCATATTCAGGGCTAAAAGGAAATGATTGGCCGGGCACGGTGCTTCATGCCTGTAACCCCAGCACTTTGGGAGGCCAAGGCGGGTGGATCACTTGAGGTCAGCAGTTCGAGACGAGCCTGGCCAACATGATGAAACTCTGTCTCTACTAAAAATACAAAAATCAGCCAGGCATGGTGGTTGGTGCCTGTAATCCCAGCTACTCAGGAGGCTGAGGCAGGAGAATCACTTGAACCCGGGAGGCGGAGTTTGCAGTGAGCCCAGATGGTGCCACTGCACTCCAGCCTGGGCGAAACAGTGAAACTGCGTCTCAAAAATAAAATAAATAAAAATAAATGAGCTACGAAGCTATGAAAAGACATAGAGGAACCTTAAGTGCACATTACCAAGTGAAAGCAGTTAGTCTGAAAAGATGATACAGTTGGCCTTTGAACAACATGGGTTTGAACTTCCCAGGTCCACTTATATGTGGATTTTTTTCAACCAAACACATGTGAAACCCATGTCCAGAGGGCTGGCTTCATATAAGTGGATTCTGAAAGGCCAGCTGTGGAACTTGAGTATGCATGGATTTGGGTATACGTGGGGGTCTCGGACCCAATCCCCTTTGTTTACCAACGGACACCTATACTGTATGATTCCAACTATGTGACATTCTGGATGAGGCAACACTATAGAGACAGCAAAAAGATCAGCAGTGCCAAGGAGTAGAGAAGCAGGGTGAAGCCAGAGGATTTTTAGGGCGGTGACACTAGTCTGTACAGTACTGCAGTGGTGGATGCAAAACCCATAGATCACGCGGCACCACGAGTGAGCCCTAAACTGAGATTTTAGATGGTCATGATGTGTCAGTGTGGGTTCATTCATTGTGACGCTGTTATCACTGTTGCGGGAGGTAAGTAGTGGGGGAGGTGTGTGGGGGGTGGGGTATGCAGGAACTGTGTTTTCTGCTTAATATTGCTGTGAAATGCTCTAAAAATAAAGTATTTTCAAAAAAATCTCATGTTTCCCCAGATTTTCCATCTCTAGTGCTCTTCATCCCTTTCTGATGATCTGAGTTTCTAGCTGGCACCATTTCCCTTCAGCCCAAAGACCTTTGCATTTCTCGTGGTGCGAGTCTGCTGCCCCAGTTCTTAGTTTTCTCGTGTATGAAAGTACCTTTATTTTGCTTTTTTTTTTCCTTTTCCCATTCAGCACTTTAAAGCTGCTATTTTACTCTTTTCTGGCCTCCTTGACTTTCGATGAGGAGTCAGCCATTCATGGGATCACTGGCTCGTGGTGTGTCGTGGGTCACTCTCCTGCTTTTGAGGTGAGCTGCCTGTCGTTTCGGTTCCCAGCAGGTGGACTCTGATGTACTGCAGCACCGGCCTCTTGGTTTTTACTCTGCTAGGTGTTCATATAGCATCTTGATCCTGTAGATTTCTGTCTTTCATCAAATTTGGGAAATTTTTGACCATTATTTCTTCACATTTCTTTCTGTACCATTCTCTCTCTGGTCTCCTGAGATACCAATTATAAGTGACCATTTGAATTATCTAACAGATTTGTAAGGCTGTTTATTATTTTTAAAATATTTTTATCTGTATTCTTCAGATAATTTCTGTTCATCTCGATTCAAGTTGACTTACTCTTTCCTTTATTGTGCCCATTCAGCTGTTAGTCTGTCAAGTAATGCTTTATTTCAGAGATTGTGTTCTTCAGTTCCAGAATGACTGTTTTATTCCTTTTTATTATTTCTGTGTCTCTGCTGAGAGTTTTCACTCCCTGAGATTTTCCTGTTTTGTTTTACTTCACTGAGGATAATTATAATTCCTGTTTTTAAATCCTTGTCTGTTAGTTTCAACATCTGACTCATTTCAGGGTCAGATGGTTGATTTCCTTTTCTCACAAAAACGTGCTCTATTTTCTTGGTTCTTTATGTGTTTGTTAATTTTGGAGTGGAGACTGTGGATTCTGTATGTATGGGTGTATGTGTATCTGCATCGTGTGTATGTACATGTTTACGCATGTGAGTGTGTGTGAGTGTGTGTATGAGTGTGTGTGTACATCTGTGCAGCTGGTCACCAGCATGTACCTTCACAAGTTAGATTTTGCTGGCATATCCACGAGCTGTCACCACTGTGCCCTGGGCACTGAGCTTTCTGAGGCTTGTGTGTTGGCCTGTCCCAGGGCTCTGCCATCGTCAGTATTGGCCCCACTCACAGATGTTCTTTCCTGGGTTGGGCCAGCTCCTTTTGGACACTTTTGAGATCCACCTCGGGCCCGTCTGCGTTTGCGATGCTGCTTTTCTGTGGCTCCTTCCGGCTACTGGGACTGTTCCCTTCTGGCATTGCCTTCGGCAGCACTTCGAGGAACTCAGCCTCCAGGGCCTCCTGTTGTCCTTGAAAATGCAGTTTTATTTCATTATTTTTATTTATTTATTTTTGGGGGTTTTTTTTTGTTTCTTTTTTTTTGTTTTTTGAGACGGAGTTTCGCTCTTCTTGCCCAGGCCGGAGTGCGATGGCGCCATCTCAGCTCATCACAACCTGCGCCTCCCAGGTTCAAGTGATTCTCCTGCCTCAGCCTCCCGAGTAGCTGGGATTACAGGCACCTGCCACCACGCCCAGCTAATTTTGTATTTTTAGTAGAGATGGGGTTTCACCATGTTGGTCAGGCTGGTCTCGAATTCCTGAGCTTAGGCAATCTGCCCGCCTCAGCCTCCCAAAGTGCTGGGATTACAGGCGTGAGCCACCATGGTGGCCTATTTTTATTTTTTTTTGAGATTTAGTCTTGTTTTGTTGCCCAGGCTGGAGTGCAGTGGTGCCATCTTGGCTCAGTGCAACTTCTGCCTCCCAGGTTCAAGTGATTCTCCTGCCTCAGCCTCCCAAGTAGCTGGGATTACAGGTGCTTGCCACCATACCCTGCTAATTTTGTATTTTTAGTAGAGACAGGGTTTCACCATGTTGGCCAGGGTGGTCTCGAACTCCTGACCTCAGGTGATCCACCCACCTCGGCCTCCCAAAGTGCTGGGATTACGGGCATGAGCCACTGCGCCCAGCCTGAAAATGAAGTTAAAACACAACAAAACTTCATTTTGCTTGTTTGTATTTTTCTGTTGTTATTATTTTTGAGACGGAGTTTCACTCTTGTTGCCCAGGCTAGAGTGCAATGGCGCGATCTCGGCTCACAGCAACCTCCACCTCCCGGGTTCAAGCCATTCTCCTGCCTCAGCCTCCGGAGTAGATGGGATTACAGGCATGCACCACCACACCTGGCTAATTTTGTATTTTTAGTAGAGACGGGGTTTCTCCATGTTGGTCAGGCTGGTCTCGAACTCCGGACCTCAGGTGATCTGCCCGCCTCGGCCTCCCAAAGTGCTGGGATTACAGGCGTGAGCCATGGCACCTGGCATGTATTTTTCTGTTGTTATTTTTGTGGTTTCCTGAAGAAGACATGAGAAGATTCAGAGCTAAACTTTGTTCCCACTGGGACCAGATAATGAAATGCTTTTTTTTTTTTTGAAACAGAGCCTTGCTCTGTCACCAAGGCTGGAGTGCAGTGGTGCCATCTTGGCTCGCTGCAGCCTTACCCTCCCAGGTTCAAGTGATCCTCCCGCCTCAGCCTCCTGAGTGGGACTACAGGTGCGCTCCACCATGCCCAGATAATTTTTGTATTTTTGGTAGAGACAAGGTTTCACCATATTGGTCAGGGTGGTTTTGAACTCCTGGGCTCAAGCAATTTACCTGCCTTGGCCTCCCAAAGTGCTGGGATTACAGCATCAAAATACATGAGGTTTCCGGGCACAGTGGTCACACCTGTAATTCCGGCACTTTGGGCATTTTTGTTGCTATGTAGTTCATATGTCAAGCGTAGGCTATTTCAGCAAAATAAGGTTCCTGGCATCCCTGGGCTCTATATTTTGTAGAAAGCCCTGTAGGTTGGAGTCTAGTTGCAAGTCCATAGTTGGACAGAGGCAACCCTTTTGATCCTAGTTTAGGCGGGGGAGTGGAGTCGTGATTTGTGATCCTAGTTTAGGCGGGGGAGTGGAGTCATGATTTGTGATCCTAGTTTGGGGAGTGGAGTCATGATTTGTGATCCTAGTTTGGGGAGGTGGAGTCGTGATTTGTGATCCTAGTTTGGCGGGGTGGAGTCATGATTTGTGATCCTAGTTTTGGGGGGGTGGGGTTGTGATTTGTGATCCTAGTTTGGGGGAGTGGAGTTGTGATTTGTGATCCTGGTTTCAGGGAGTGGAGTCGTGATTTGTGATCCTAGTTTGGAGGGGTGGAGTCGTGATGGGAGTCAGCAGCAGGGAGGGTCTGTGTTCTCGGTGTTGAAGTTGGAGCGATGTCATCCCCCATGAGATGGGGGCTGTCCAGGTGGATGAATGGTGTGTCCCCAGTTGGCCATCCCCGTCAGGAAGGCCTTGTAGTCCCCTGGGAGGGCTGCTGTGTGCATCTCTGGCGCTGTTTCAAGTGTCACCCTGCATTTATTGTGATCCCTTGCAGACTAAAGTGAGGAAGCCCTTAGGAGGCAACTTCTTCCCAAACAGGTGCCCCCATGAGGTTGCCTTGAACAAGAAAACCATCCTGTTTCCACAAACAGGTGCCCCCAGGAGGTTGCCTTGAATGAGAGAACTGTGCTGTTTCCACAAACAGGTGCCCCCACGAGGTTGCCTTGAACAAGAAAACCATCCTGTTTCCACAAACAGGTGCCCCCACGAGGTTGCCTTGAACGAGAGAACTGTGCTGTTTCCACTTGCCTGACTGAGTCTAAATCTATGGGCAGAAGGCAGTTTGGACTTGCAGGCATGTTGCATCACGAGGCTGCCAATTTGACTGATTGGTCCTCCAACACCATGAGGAAGGGGCCGGGGATGAGTAAAGCCACACCCTCCTGGAGTTTGGGAAGACCCTGTGTGTCAGGTCAGCCTGGTCCCGCAGTTGCCATTTCCATGTAGCAAGGAGGCACCTGCCTGTGCTGGGTGGGAGGTGTCCTGAGCTGTGGCATGGTGGGGATTGGAGTCCACAGGGGTGCTGCTTCCACTCAGTGTGGGACCCTCAGTTTCTAATCGAGCTCAATAGGCGGATAGCGTTTGCCTTTCTACGGGGCATATTGAGCTGCTCTTTGGGGCTTGTTGAGTTCAGAACCCCATGGGCAACCAGGTGGACCATGTTTCCTCCTGAGACTCCACGAGGCAGAGTGGGTGTCGCCAGAGCTTCCATGCAAGAGTGGGACCTGGAGGCATGGTGGCATGGTGTGCTGGGCCGCCTGCTGGGCCGGGTGAGGGCTGTGGAGCCTCCCCACTGAGAGGTGGTTGCTTTATAGGTTATGGCAGAAAAGGGTCTGGGTATTAGAGTAAGATATGGAAACTCTTGTCTCCAAAACATGAAGAATCCAAATAAATGTGTCCGTCAAAGACCTGTGGGTGGTAACAGTGTCAGCAGTTTATGTTTAACGATTAATAGGATCTGCTGCACCCTGACCAGACAGTGCCCAAGAATTTTACTGAAGGCACCGGCCCCTGTATTTTATGTGGGGTGATAGCATAACCCTTTTTTTTTTTTTTTTTTTTTTTTTGAGACAGAGTCTCGCTCTGTTGCCCAGGCTGGAGTGCAGTGGTGCGATCTCGATCTCGGCTCACTGCAAGCTCTGCCTCCCGGGTTCACGCCATTCTCCTGCCTCAGCCTCCCAAGTAGCTGGGACTACAGGCGCCTGCCACCACGCCTGGCTAATTTCTTCTATTTTTAGTAGAGACGGGGTTTCACCGTGTTAGCCAGGATGGTCTCGATCTCCTGACCTTGTGATCCACCCGCCTTGGCCTCCCAACCAAAGTGCTGGGATTACAGGTGTGAGCCACTGCGCCCAGCCTCGTAGCTGGTTTTTTGTTTGTTTGTTTGTTTGTTTTTGCGACGGAATCTCGCTCTGTCACCCAGGCTGGAGTGCAGTGGCGAGATCTGCACTCTGACTGCAAGCTCCACCTCCCGGGTTCACACCATTCTCCTGCCTCAGCCTCCCGAGTAGCTCCCAGGTGGCTCATGCCTGTAATCCCAGCACTTTAAAAGGCCAAAGCGGGCAGATCACTTGAGACCAGGAGTTCAAGACCAGCCTGGCCAACATAGTAAAACCCCATCTCTACTAAAAATACAAAAATTAACTGGGTGTGGTAGTGAGCACCTGTAATCCTAGCTACTCGGGAGGCTGAGGTGGGAGGATTGCTTGAGCCTGGAAGGTCAAGACTGCCATGAGCTGAGATCATCCACTGTACTCCAGCCTGGGCAACAGAGCAAGACTGTCTTAAGCAAAATAAAATAGGCCGGGTGCCGTGGCTCACGCCTGTAATCCCAGCACTTTGGGAAGCTAAGGCAGGCGGATCATCGGAGGTCAGGAATTCAAGACCAGCCTGGCCAACATGGTGAAACCCCATCTCTACTAAAAATACAAAAAAATTAGCAGGCATGGTGGTGGGCGCCTGTAATCCCAGCTACTTGGGAGGCTGAGTCAGGAGAATTGCTTGAACTCGGGAGCCGGAGGTTGCAGTGAGCCGAGACCACGCCATTGCACTTCAAACTGGGCAACAAGAACCAAAAAAAACCTCCATCTCAAAAATTAACAATAATAAAGTAGGCCGGGCACGGTGGCTCACGCCTGTAATCCCATCACTTTGGGAGGCCAAGGCAGATGGATCACCTGAGGTCGGGAGTTCAAGACCAGCCTGACCAACTTGGAGAAACCCCAACTCTACTAAAAATATAAAAATTAGCTGGGCGTGGTGGCGCCTGCCTGTAATCCCAGCTACTTGGGAGGCTGAGGCAGGAGAATCACTTGAACCCAGGAGGTGGAAGTTGCGGTGAGCCAAGATCATGCCATTGCACTCTAGCCTGGGCAACAAGAGCGAAACTCTGTCTCAAAAATAAATAAATAAATAAATAAATAAATAAATAAATAAATAAATAAATAAAATAAAGGAAGGTGAACTCCCGAGGGTTTGTTCGTGATTCCCTTTATTTTAAAAGCTTTCCCTTTTGTAGGCTCCTCAGGAACTACTGTGACTTGGGCCCCCTTATAAAGTACTGAAAGTTTTTCTTGTCCCAATTAATAGAGTAGTAAAAGGGTAATTGTCCCCTCAGAGTGGGATAGTCCCTGGAGGACCACCAAGTCCCCAGGCTAAGGGATGAGGAGGCTGCCATTCTCTCAAGTCGGGAAAGGAGGGAGGGTATTAGTGTTCTGTGAGAACAGGCTGTCGAGGGTCCTCAGCCTTCAGAAATGCGGCTGCGTGAGCCCAGGTGTTTGACGGCCACCAGCTTGTTTTCTGGTTGTCCCATGATGAGGGCGTTGGGCACAGCCGCCCAGCGTGGGGGCCCATGAGGGTCCGGTTCTTAGTCCAGGGATTTGGGGAAGGGTTTCCAGGTGCTCAGGGAAAATAATGGTGAGGCCTGGGTCCCGCTGTGGGGGGCCAGGGTCAGTTGAGGTCCGGCTGGGGGCCCTCAGCAGGCGACTGCCGAGCACCAGGAAGCAGCTGCCCATGTCTCACCTTTGCACAAGTCTTGTCCAGAGCTGCCGTGTGACTGAGAGGAGCCTCTTCAGGACTGGAGATAGTCCCATGGTACCCCGGCAGTGGCATTCAAAGAGACAACAGACCCCTCTTGCTGTCTGCCATCACTTAGCAGGAGGTGGGTGTGGTCTCCAGGGCCACTCTACAGTGAGCTCTGGCTGTTGTCACTATGGTGGGCGGTTGAGTCTGGGCCACACCTTGAGTATCCACGGCACGGAGGCTCCGAGTGCGCCCGTCCTTCCCACCCGGTGAGGCTTCCGTGACCTCGTCAGTGCTTTTTCTGATTTGTGGGCATGGGATTGGCCACATTGAGGGACAGATGTGGGGGATGTGGGCCAGTGTCCTGGAGGAATTTAGTACACATTTCTGTGGGAGTGAGCGCTAACTCTGACCTGGTACTACATGCCCTGAGTAGCTGGCCAGCCCCCTTTTCACTCTGGCAATACAAAAATACAAAATCTCTTTTTTTTTTTTTTTTTTTGAGACGGAGTCTTGCTCTGTTGCCCAGGCTGCAATGGGGTGATCTCAGCTCACTGCAACCTCTGCCTCCTGGGTTCAAGCAATTCTCCCACCTCAGCCTCCCAAGTAGCTGGGATTACAGGTGCACTCCACTACTGGCCAGCTAATTTTTGTATTTTAAGTAGAGATGGGGTTTTACCATGTTGGCTAGGATGGTCTCGAACTCCTGACTTCAGATGATCTACCCTCCTCAGCCTCCCAAAGTGTTGGGATTACAGGCGTGAGCCACCATGCCCAGCCAATGTAAAATCTCTTTTTTTTTTATTTTTTTGAGACGGAGTCTTGCTTTGTCCCCTGGCTGGAGTGCAGTGGTGCGATCTTGGCTCACTGCAACCTCTGCCTCCCTGGTTCAAGTGATTCTCCTGCCTCAGCCTCCCAAGTAGCTGGGATCACAGGCATGCACCACCACGTCTGGCTAATTTTTGTATTTTTAGTAGAGACGGGGTTTCTCTGTGTTGGTCAGGCTGGTCTCAAACTCCTGACCTCAGGTGATCTACCCACCTCGGCCTCCCAAAGTGCTGGGATTACAGGCGTGAGCTACCACGCCCGGCCTGCAAAATCCCTTAAGACAAATTTGAATTTTCTACCACAGAGGAATTTTGGTCTCCAGTTCTAATTCGCCCGTCTCCTGTGATTTTGACCTTTGAGATTATTACCAGAAGAATCTGAGGGTGACCTCTGTGTGTCCCTACCTTTCAGGCAGCGCCTCCCTCTTCAGGGTGTCCCAGTGACCTCTGTGGGAGGTCACTGACCCAGGGTCAGCACCCACCAGCGCCGTCATTTTCTGGTGTCAGGGTTGGCCCCCAGGCCCCAGGACCACAGGGCCAGCGGCACCAAGTAGAGTTCATGCCGTTGCTGTGAGCCTTACACTCATCTCAGAGCCAGGTGGAGGCCTCCAGCGTCCGGTGGGGCAGGAACCGGGTGCTCAGGGCATTTGCTTTTGCCCACCAATCGTAGCCGGTTTGTGCCAGGGATTAGACCCGTGACACCCGCTGGAGTTGGGGGACAGGGCCGACAGCCACAGGGACAAAGCATGGATATTTGCAAGGGGTCATGACCAGCCCTGCAGGGATTGCCCATGGTCTGGGGTCTGCAGTAGACCTGGATACCTGTGAACGCCACGGGAGGTGTCCTTACAGCCAGGAGCTCCGCTCGGCTCAGCGCTGGGACAAAGGAAAACACCAGGCAGGTGTGGCATGGGAAGGTCCCAACAGAGGGACTGTGGTCTGAGTGGGCGCCTCCTGGGTCAGGATTTCGGAAACACAGAGCCACGCTTACCTGCCCAACAGTCATTCAGGCTGCACAGTTTAGGCATCTGGCACGTGCAGCCTAAGATTCTGCCGGCTGCGGAACAGACCTAGCGGCATCTCTGTCTTCCCAGATGTAGTTGTCCCCACTGGCGGTGATTTTAGTCAGCCAGGCGCAGCTGAAGCATCTCATGCTAAGCATGGGTGCGCTCCCTCCCAGCAACGGTGTTAGCTGTTCCAGGGTTTTTTCTTTTTTTCTTTTTTCCTTTTGTTTCTCTTGAGAAAACCTCTTCAGTGATCAGACACAAGATGGAAAATAAAGATTTGCTTACGTATATGTCTTGGGGGTACACGGCACGCCTGAAGGCCACATGGAGGTCGGCGCGAGGAGAGAGGATGGAGGGCGAGGATCTGGGGCATCTGCCTTCCTGGGTTCCAGGGTATGGGTGGAAGCCCAGATGGAGAAGAGGGGTGCAAGGGTTTGAAGCAAACACGTCCAAGGAGGGCTCCTGCTCCATTATCAGTCCAGGTTTTGCGTCCAGTCAAGCAGCTGTGTGTAGGTGGGGTTGTAGCGGTGGCCTCTGACCCACAGGGACCAAGAGGGAGGGGTTGGGAACTCAGGCCGCTGCCGGAGGCCTCATGGCAGCCGGAGCTCATGTCAAAGAGCATAGCACATGCGGAGGCAGCTCAGAAACAGGCGTGCTGCACTGTGGTCTGCTTTAGAGGTGGGGTCTCAACATCTTGCCCAGGCAGGTCTCAAACTTTTGGCCTCAAGTGATCCTCCCACCTCAGCCTCTCAAAGTGCTAGGATTACAGGCGTGAGCCACCACACCCAACTTAAGTAATATTTTATCAACATTTTTGTTTTGTTTTGTTTTGAGACGGAGTCTCCCTCTGTTGCCCAGGCTGGAGTGCAGTGGTATGATCTCGGCTCATTACAACCTCTGCCTCCCGGGTTCAAGCAATTCTGCCTCAGCTTCCCGTGTACCTGGGACTACAGGCATATGCCACCACGCCTGGCTAATTTTTGTATTTTTAGTGGAGACAGGGTTTCTCCATGTTGGCCAGGCTGCTCTCGAACTCCTGACCTCAGATGATCCACCCGCCTCAGCCTCCCAAAGTGCTGGGATTACAGGTGTGAGCCACCCCGCCTGGCCTTTATCAACAATTTATTACATACAAGCAAATTATTACTGCTGCTAGTATTAAGTTACCTACTGTGGTTTGTTTTTTGAGGTCTGATAGGTTCTAAGGCTGTCCAATGTATTTTTTTTTTTTTTTTTTTGAGACGGAGTCTCGCTCTGTCGCCCAGGCTGGAGTGCAGTGGTGCGATCTTGGCTCACTGCAAGCTCCGCCTCCCGGGTTCACGCCATTCTCCTGCCTCAGCCTCCCAAGTAGCTGGGACTATAAGTGCCTGCCACCACACCCAGCTAATTTTTTGTATTTTTAGTAGAGACGGGGTTTCACCGTGTTGGCCAGGATGGTCTCCATCTCCTGACCTCGTGATTCCCCCGCCTTGGCCTCCCCAAGTGCTGGGATTACAGGCGTGAGCCACCGCGCCCGGCTTGGCTCAGTCTAATGTAATTGGCCAACTCGTCTTTTTACCATGACCTGTCAATCGTGCATAGGTTTTGAATTATCTAGAATTGATGTACAGCACTTTTTCCCCCAGCATGTTATGGAAGATTTCAGACATACATCAAATTTGGAAGAGCTTTATAGTGAAGACCCATACACCCACCACCAAGGTTCTGTGTTAACATTTATCATGCTTGGAAATCATGTTTCCCTATCCCACTATCCCTCTACCAGACCCATCATGTACTTTGTTTTTGTTTTTAAAGTAAATTGCAAGGCTGGGCACAGTGGCTCACACCTGTAATCCCAACACTTTGGGAGGCTGAGGTGGGCGGATCACTTGAGGCCAGGAGTTTGACACAAGCCTGGCCAACATGGTAAACTCCGTCTTTACAAAAAAATAAAAAAATTAGCCAGGCGTGGTGGCACATGCCTGTAGTCCCAGCTACTCCGGAGGCTGAGGCATGAGAATCACTTGAACCTGAGAGGCAGAGGTTGCAGTGAGTTGAGATCGCATCATTGCACTCCAGCCTGGGTGACGGAGAAAGACTCTGTCTTAAAAAAAAAAAATGCAGCTGTCAGGACATGTCCTTTATTGAATTTAATTTTATTTTTACTTTTAAAATTATTGGGCCGGGCATGGTGACTCATGTCTGTAATCCCAGCACTTTGGGAGGCCGAGGTGGGCGGATCACCTGGAGTCAGGAGTTCGAGACCTGCCTGGCCAGCATGGTGAAACCCTGTCTCTACTGAAAATACAAAAAATCAGCAGGGCGTGGTGGCTCACGCCTGTAATCCCAGCTCCTCAGGAGGCTGAGGCAGGAGAGTTGCTTGAACCTGGGAGGCAGAGGTTGCCGTGAGCAGAAATCGTGCCACTGCACTCCAGCCTGGGCAATAGAGCAAGACTCTGTCTCAAAATGCATAGATAACATACATAAAATAACAAAGAAGCAGCACTAACAGGACGCTTCCTTTAAATACATATGTGTCATTAATTGGAGATCAGTGTTTGTTTACAGTTTTTTCTTTTGAGGTGAAAATTATATAAATGAAATGCACAAATCTTAAGTGTGAATTTGCTGAGTTTTAACAAATAGACACACTTGTGTAAACCAAACCTCTATCAAGATATATAATGTTATTGTTGCCCAGAAAGTTCCATCGGTACACAGTATACCATTGAGGAAACACACACTTTTGGAGCTGGAGGAAGACGAAGAACTGCATAGTTTCGTGAAACTATGGTTCTGATAGCCACTGTTTGTGGTCATTTTGACTAAAGTGTTGATTGAGATATTCTAAACTTGCAGGGGAGCAAGGCTCCTGTGTGTGGTTTGTGCCAGACTTAGACCAGGAAGCAAGGTGGCCTTAGCTCATGGCCCAGGCATCCCGTGGATGACGTCAGTGTAGTGAACCCTAACATCATGGGGCTTCCTCGGTCCTCCGGGGGAGCCATCATCTGGAAGCATTTAAGTCCTGTTGGGGCAGTTGGAGGAGAGTCCGTCTTCAGTCTTAATCCCATGTGTCTGCGCGACACAGTGCCCAAGGTGCTGCTGTCTCCTCTGAGGGGGGCGGTTCCCACGACCGTCACTGGGTGTCTGAATGGCATGAGATCTTGAGTAAGATCTTGTCAGCCAACTGGGGAAAGATGATTCTGTTTTTGTTTGTTCGCCTTTGAAGGGGCAGTGGTGAGCACAGGTGCCCTGCATTAGAAGTTTCGAGTGTGTTTCGGGGGTGTCCAAGAAGGAGGTTAGTGATGGGCACCCCGGAGAGCCACAGGCTCCGTCCTGTCCTGCCCTACCGCCATGTCTGACCTGGCCCGGCAGGCGTCTCTGGCAGTGCCTCCATGTGGACTTTGTATCCAGGCTGAGTTTCAGTCGTGTTTGTTGGGGGTCCCTTGGCAGGGCCCTGCCCCGGGACGCCCCGTCGCAGCGTCACATGCCAGTGTCACCCCCGGGACGCCCCGTCGCAGCGTCACATGCCAGTGTCACCCCCGGGACGCCCCGTCGCAGCGTCACATGCCAGTGTCACCCCCGGGACGCCCCGTCGCAGCGTCACATGCCAGTGTCACCCCCGGGACGCCCCGTCGCAGCGTCACATGCCAGTGTCACCCCCGGGACGCCCCGTCGCAGCGTCACATGCCAGTGTCACCCCCGGGACGCCCCGTCGCAGCGTCACATGCCAGTGTCACCCCCGGGACGCCCCGTCGCAGCGGCACGCGCTGTGCTTTCCGTGGCTGTCTTACCACGGAAGGCCTCTGGGCGGCAGCAGAGCCCACCCTTGCTGCTCTTTCAGTCCAGGGATTGGCGCTCTGGGCCCCGCGCCTGGAGGGGCTTTAGGCCCGGTGGATAAAACATGGCTCTCCACTTCCCTGTTTGGTTCCTGAGTTCTCTTTTGGCACTTTTCAGCCGACTCTGGTGATGTACGAAGGGAGAGGCACTGCTGGGCCTGCCATACAGCTGCACAGTGAGTGAGCGGCCTCGAGTTGGTGGGTGAGGGCACCCGCTCCTGGGAACAACGCCAGCCCTGGGTGGGCTCAGCCCTGCCTGCAATGTTGAGAAACTGTTACAATTGAACATCTTTATCTGAGTAGTCACAAAAAACACATGTAACCTGTTGATAGCCTGATGAGAGATCTGTTTTGGTTTTGGTTCTTCAGAGACAGGGTCTCACTCTGCTGCCCAGGCTGGAGTGCGGAGGTGCGGTCTCAGCTCACTGCAGCCTCCACCTCGTGGGCTCAAGCTCTCCTCTCATTTCAGCCTCCCAAAGTGCGGGGATCACAGGCGCGAGCCACCATGCCCATCCCAAGAGATCTATTTTTAAGCGGGCAGTTACGTTGATATGAGACATCAGGGAGGACCCTGGCATTTAAAAGGAATCTTAGGCCGGGTGCGGTAGCTCACGCCTGTGATCCCAGCACTTTGGGAGGCCGAGGCGGGTGGATGGCGAGGTCAGGAGATCGAGACCATCCTGGTTAACACAGTGAAACCCCGTCTCTACTAAAAATACAAAAAATTAGCCGGGCGTGGTGGCGGGCGCCTGTAGTCCCAGCTACTCGGGAGGCTGAGGCAGGAGAATGGCGTGAACCCGGGAGGCGGAGCTTGCAGTGAGCCGAGATTGCGCCACTGCACTCCAGCCTGGGCGACAGAGCAAGACTCTATCTCACAAAAAAAAAAAAAAAAATAAAAATAAATAAATAAAAGGAATCTTATATGCTTGCTAAAAGGGCACTACGCATGGAGAAAATGACATAAAATTTTGTTTTCGTTTTTATCCCAATTTTTCTTTTGACTTTTATAACCAGGAGCTTTAGGAGTAAACTCGTATTTTTAAATTTTAACATGAATATAGGTCAGGCACACTTCATTTTATTCCACTTCACTTTGTTGTGGCTTTGCAGATACTGCTGCTTTTTTTTTTTTTTTTTTTCCATAGATGGAGTCTTGCTCGTCGCCCAGGCTGGAGTGCAATGGCGCGATCTCAGCTCACTGCAACCTCCGCCTCCCAGGTTCTAGTGATTCTCCTGCCTCAGCCTCCCAAGTAGCTGGGATTACAGGCGCGCGCCACCATGCCTGGCTAATTTTGTATTTTTAGTAGAGACAGGGTTTCACCATGTTGGCCAGGATGGTCTCAAACTTCTGACCTCAGGTGATCTGCCCCCCTGGGCCTCCAAACTGTTGGGATTACAAGTGCGAGCCACTGCGCCTGGCGAACATTTTTTTTTACAAATTGAAGGTTTGTGACGACCTTGTGTTGAGCAAGTCTGTCAGTGCCATTTTCAACAGCACGTGCTCACTTCTTTGTGTCACATTTTGGTAATTCTTGCAGTATTTCAAACCTTTTTTTTTTTTTTTTTGAGACGGAGCCTTGCTCTGTCGCCCAGACTGGAGTGCAGTGGCGCGATCTCGGCTCACTGCAAGCTCCGCCTCCCGGGTTCATGCTATTCTCCTGCCTCAGCCTCCCGGGTAGCTGGGACTACAGGCGCCCACCACCACGCCCGGCTAATTTTTTGTATTTTTAGTAGAGATGAGGTTTCACCATGTTAGCCAGGATGGTCTCGATCTCCTGACCTCGTGATCCGCCCGTCTCGGCCTCCCAAGGTGCTGGGATTGCAGGCATGAGCTACTGCGCCTGGCCTCAAACCTTTTTTTTATATCTGTTATGGTGCTCTGTGATCTGCGATCTTTAATGTTGCTATTGTAATTGTTTCAAGGGCACCATGAACTCTGCCTGTATGAGACGGTGAGCTTAATCGATGAGTGTTGGCTGTCCTGACCCACTGATCAGCCATTCCCTACCTCCCTCTCTCTCTCCTAGGGCCTCCATATTCCCTGAGACTCAGCAATATCGAAACTAGGCCAATTAATAACCCTGGAATGGCCTATAAGTGTTCAAATGAAAGGAAGAGTCACACACCTCTCGCTTTATTGCAAATGTTAGAAATGACCAAGTTTAGTAAGGAAGGTGCGGTGAAAACTGAGACAGGCCAAAGCCAGGCCTTTTGCGTCTGTTAGCTAAGTTGTGAATGCAAAGCAAAACTTCTTCAGGCGTGGTGGATCAAGCCTGTAGTCCCAGCTTCTCAGGAGGCTGAGACAGGAGGATCGCTTGAGCCCAGGAGTTTGAGGCTGCAGTGAGCTATGATCACACCACTGCACTCCAGCCTGGGTGACAGAGTGAGACCCTGTCTCAAAAAGAAAATAACAGTAAAAAGTAAAGTTCTTGAAGGAAATTGGGAGTGCTATTCTGGTGAACATATGAATGACAAGAAGGTACAGCAGCCTTATTGCTGATATGGAGACAGTTTCAGTCCCCCTCAAACTGTCTGGATAGAAGATCAAACCAGACACATTCCCTTAAGCCAAAGCTTCGCCTCAAGAGCAAGGCCCCAACTCTCTTCAATTATGCGAAAGCTGAGAGGGGTAAGGAAGCTGCAGAAGAAAACCTTGAAGCTGGCAGAGGTTGGTTCATGAGGGTTAAGGAAAGACGTAGTCTCCATAACAAAAGCACAAGGTGAAGCAGCCACTGCTGATGGAGAAGCTGCAGCACGTTGTCCAGAAGACCTAGCTAAGATGATTGATGAAGGTGGCTACACTGAATAATAGATTTTCAGTGTAGACAAAACAGCCTTCTATTGCAAGAAGATGCCATCTAGGACTCCCATAGCTAGAGAGAAGGCAATGCCTGGCTTCAAAGCTTCAAAGGACAGGCTGCCTCTCTTGTTAGGGACTATGTACACAAATTGTATTGTTTATTGAATGTTTACAAATCAGACCCAGCCATGGAACCGGCACAGATTAGGAAACAAAGCATTATCAGCTCTACAGAAGCCTAGTGGTGTCCCTGCCAGGCACTACTGCCCCAGGGATAATCACTGAGTTTTGCTTGGTTTTGAACTTTTTATAAATGGAATTTTACAGCATACACTCTTCAATGTTTGGGTTCTTTCACTAAAAAAAATTTTTTTTCAGAGACAGGGCGTCCCTCTGTTGCCCATACTGGAGTGCAGTGGCACCATCATAACTGACTAATGTCAAACTCCTGGGCTCAAGTGGTCTTCCCACCTCAGCCTCCTGAGTAGATGGGACTACAGGTGTGCACCACCATGCCCAGCTAAGTTTTCTTTTTTTCTTTTCTTTTTTTTCTTTTTTGGAGACAGAATCTTGCTCTGTTGCCCAGGCTGGAGTGCAGTGGCGCGATCTCGGCTCACTGCAAGCTCCGCCTCCCGGGTTCACGCCATTCTCCTGCCTCAGCCTCTCGAGTAGCTGGGACTACAGGCACCTGCCACCGCGCCTGGCTAATTTTTTGTATTTTTAGTAGAGACGGTGTTTCACCGTGTTAGCCAGGATGGTCTCGATCTCCTGACCTTGTGATCCACCCGCCTCGGCCTCCCAAGGTGCTGGGATTACAGGCGTGAGCCACCGCGCCCAACCTATGCCTGGCTAAGTTTTCTAATAGTCTTTATTTTTATTATTATTATTATTTTGAGACAGAGTCTCACTCTGTCACCCAGGCTGGAGTACAATGACACAATCTTGGCTCACTGCAACCTCCATCTCCTGGTTCAAGCAATTCTCCTGCCTCAGCCTCCCGAGTAGCTGGGACTACAGGTATGCGCCACCACACCTGGCTAATTTTTACATATTTCTTAGTAGAGACGGGGTTTTGCCATGTTGGCCAGGCTGGTCTTGAACTCCTAGCCTCAAGTGATCTGCCCACCTCTGCCTCCCAAAGTGCTGGGATAACAGATGTGAGCCATTGTGCCCAGCCTGATTTTCTAATACTATACTAACTTTGCATTCTTTTTTTTTTTTTTTTTTTTTTTTTGAGACAGAGTCTCGCTGTCGCCCAGGCTGGAGTGCAGTGGCACAATCTCAGCTCACTGCAACCTCTGCCTCCTGGGTTCAGGCAATTCTCCTGTCTCAGACTCCCGAGTAGCTAGGACTACAGGTGAGGATCATCACACCCAGCTAATTTTTGTATTTTTGATAGAAATGGGGTTTCACCATGTTGGCCAGGTTGGTCTCAAACTCCTGGCCTCAAGTGATCCACCCTCCTGGGCCTCCCAAAGTGCTGGGATTATAGGTGTGAGCCACCACGCCAGCCTAACACTGCATTCTTGAAATAAACCCACTTGTTGATGATGTGTTATCCTTGTTACATATATGACAGGATTTGGCTTCTGAAAATTTTGTTTAGGGATTTTACATCCGTCATTGTGAATGAGATCAGCCTTCAGTTTTGTTTTCTCGTACTGTTGTCAAATTTTGGTATCAAAGATGAATTAACCTCACATACACTGTTGGAGCATGTAGCATGTCTCTGTTTTCTGGATGTAACTGATGAAGAATAAAACAGAATGAACAAATAACCGAAATGAAAAAGGAGGCACCACCTAGATATTTCAGACTATCATAAAAAGATATATTGGGCTGAGTGCAGTGGCTCACACCTGTAATCCCAGCACTTTGGGAGGCTGAAGCAGGAGGATTGCTTGAGGTCAGGAGTTGGAGACAAGCCTGGCAACACAGTGAGACCCTGTCTCTACAAAAAAATAAGGAATTAGCCAGACTACAGGTGGTGCACACCTGTAGTCCCAGCTACTCGGGAGCCTGAAGTGGGAGGAGCACTTGATCCCAAGAGTTCAAGGCTGCAGTGAGCTGTGATCACAACACTGTACTCCAAGCCCCTGTCTTTTAAAAAAAGAGGCCGGGTGCGATGGCTCACGCCCGTAATCCCAGCACTTTGGGAGGCCGAGGCGGACGGATTGCCTGAGCTCAGGAGTTTGCAACCAGCCTAGGCAACACGGTGAAACCCCGTCTCTATTAAAATTACAAAAAATTAGCCGAGCATAGTGGTGAGCATCTGTAGTCGCAGCTACTCGGGAGGCTGAGGCAGGAGAATCGCTTGAACCCAGGAGGTGGAGGTTGTGGTGAGCCGAGATCGTGCCATTGCACTCCAGTCTGGGCAACAAGAGTGAAACTCTGTCTCAAAGAAAAAAAAAACAAGAAAGAAAGAAAAAAGGTGGTGGTGGATACATAATTGTTTGAGTGCTAAATAAATTGACTCATAATTTAAAACCCTTCCTCAGAAAAAATGCCAAGCCCAGATGGCTTCACCGACTTGTACTAAACAGTTAAGGAAGAAATAGCAACTATCTTACATATATATCTATGTTCAATAAAAGTTGGTTTATGCTGTGCATATAATTTTAGAACCTGATTCTTCTCTTTGTAATATGAGCTTTTCATTTAATTATATATCTTTCTATTATAATAATGGTAGAATTGTATTCCATTATGTGAATAGTTTTTACTGGGTTTAAACAGCCCCGTTTTTGGACATTTGGGTTCTTCCTTGTTTCCCCCCAATTACAAAATGCAGCGAGCATCATTGTAGTCATTTCAACGTACATATGGCAGTCCACTTAGGATGGATCCTAGGGGAGTAGTTTGGGGGACAAAGGGTGTGTGAGATATCAATTTTTTGGCTACATATTGTCAGCTTTTTAAAAAAGTTATATTTTGGCTAGGCACAGTGGCCTGCACCTGTAGTCCCAGCTACTTGGGAGGCTGAGGCAGGAAGATTGCTTGAGCCTGAGAGGTCAAGGCTGCTGTGAACTGTGGTTGCACCGTGGCACTCCAGCCTGGGAAACAGAGCAAGACACTATCTCAAAAAAAGGTCATTTATTTACAGTCCCACCAACAGTACACGGCATGATTGTTGCTTTAATTCTTTTTTTTTTTTTTTTTTTTTTTTTGAGACGGAGTCTTGCTCTGTTGCCCGGGCTGGAGTGCAGTGGCGCGATCTCAGCTCACTGCAAGCTCTGCCTCCCGGGTTCGCTCCGCCTCCTGGGTTCACGCCATTCTCCTGCCTCAGCCTCCTGAGTAGCTGGGACTACGGGCGCCTGCCACCTCGACTGGCTAATTTTTTTGTATTTTTAGTAGAGACGGGGTTTCACCGTGTTACCCAGGATGGTCTCGATCTCCTGACCTCGTGATCCGCCCACCTCGGCCTCCCAAAGTGCTGGGATTACGGGCGTGAGCCACCGCGCCTGGCCCTGGCCCAGATTCTTTACATCAGGAACTCGGTGGATATTTTTGTGCATCACAGCCAGGCCCAGGCCTTCCTGTCTGTCACTGCTAACTTACTTCTTTTGTCAGGTTTCAGCTTGAATCTCACTCCTGGCATTTTCTCTGACCATGTAGACTAGGTTGGGGCCAATAACACATTTACACAGTTTCTGTCACATGGTGTATCATTATTTTTAAGAACTTACTTGCTATCTAATTGAGTAGAACATAAGCTTCATGAGATCAGAGACTATATTTACCTTCCTGTATATTCCTTACCTAGAACACGCCTGGCCTTCTAAATATTTGTTGAATAATTTGCCAATTTGATAGGTGAAAAATCGTAATTTGTTTTGATTTGACTACTTTGATAACTAATGAACTTGAATATTTTTATCCTGTTGATTGGCCATCCCATCTTTACTTCTGAATTCTGCCTTTCACATCTTTTCCTATTGGAGCATCTGCCTTCTGCATGATGGTTTATAGGAGCTTCTACCACATTATGGACATTATGCCTGATGGAAGGTTTTCTCTAGTAACTCATTTATATTTTTCTTTAACAGATTCTGAGGTTGGGACCAAGAAGGAACTATCTATTTTAAACCAAAAATTTTCCGAAGAAGTAAAAACCCCAGAATTTGTATCAAGAAGACTCTTAAGGGATAATGCACAGGCCGCTGAGTTTCGGGAAGCATGGGGCCGTGAGGGCAAACTCAAAGAGCGCGTGGGAAATTCTGCCGGGCAGAGTTTGAACAAACCCAATATTCACAAGAGAGTTTTAACAGAAGCTACCGTGGGCAGGGAAAGATCTTTGGGAGAAAGAACCCAAGAGTGTAGTGCATTTGATAGAAACTTGAATCTGGACCAAAATGTTGTTAGACTTCAAAGAAATAAAACAGGAGAGAGGGTCTTTAAATGTGATATATGCAGCAAAACCTTCAAATATAATTCAGACCTAAGTAGACACCAGAGAAGTCACACTGGGGAGAAGCCGTACGAATGTGGCCGGTGTGGGCGAGCCTTTACTCACAGCTCAAATCTTGTTCTGCACCATCACATTCACACTGGAAATAAACCATTTAAATGTGATGAATGTGGGAAAACTTTTGGACTCAATTCTCACCTCCGTCTTCATCGGAGAATTCACACTGGAGAAAAACCCTTTGGCTGTGGTGAGTGTGGGAAGGCTTTCAGTCGAAGCTCAACTCTTATTCAACATCGGATCATTCACACAGGAGAGAAACCCTACAAGTGTAATGAATGTGGAAGAGGCTTTAGCCAGAGCCCCCAGTTAACTCAGCATCAGAGAATTCACACTGGAGAGAAGCCGCATGAATGCAGTCACTGTGGGAAGGCCTTCAGTCGAAGCTCCAGCCTTATTCAGCATGAGAGAATTCACACTGGAGAGAAGCCCCATAAATGCAATCAGTGTGGGAAGGCCTTCAGTCAGAGCTCAAGCCTTTTCCTCCATCATCGGGTTCATACTGGAGAGAAACCCTATGTATGTAATGAATGCGGCAGAGCCTTTGGTTTTAACTCTCATCTTACTGAACACGTAAGGATTCACACAGGAGAAAAACCCTATGTTTGTAATGAGTGCGGCAAAGCCTTTCGTCGGAGTTCCACTCTTGTTCAGCATCGAAGAGTTCACACTGGGGAGAAGCCCTACCAGTGCGTTGAATGTGGGAAAGCTTTCAGCCAGAGCTCCCAGCTCACCCTACATCAGCGAGTTCACACTGGAGAGAAGCCCTATGACTGTGGTGACTGTGGGAAGGCCTTCAGCCGGAGGTCAACCCTCATTCAGCATCAGAAAGTTCACAGCGGAGAGACTCGTAAGTGCAGAAAACATGGTCCAGCCTTTGTTCATGGCTCCAGCCTCACAGCAGATGGACAGATTCCCACTGGAGAGAAGCACGGCAGAGCCTTTAACCATGGTGCAAATCTCATTCTGCGCTGGACAGTTCACACTGGTGAGAAATCCTTTGGATGTAATGAATATGGAAAAGCTTTCAGTCCCACCTCACGACCCACTGAAGATCAGATAATGCATGCTGGGGAAAAGCCCTATAAATGTCAAGAATGTGGAAACGCCTTCAGTGGAAAGTCAACCCTTATTCAACATCAGGTAACTCACACTGGTCAGAAACCATGTCATTGCAGTGTGTATGGGAAAGCCTTCAGCCAGAGTTCACAGCTCACACCACCTCAGCAGACTCGTGTTGGAGAGAAACCTGCTTTAAATGATGGCTCTAAAAGATACTTTATTCATATCAAGAAGATTTTCCAAGAAAGACATTTTTAATGTGATAAATGCAGAAGACAGTTTAGCAACTGTTCACTTGACATTAGAAGATAAGATGGCATAATGAAAGATATATAAGGTCTAAATATTACTGGCAAAGTAAAATAAATAGTTCAGATGACTACTAAAGTCAAAGTCATTAAATCTGGAAGTAAACACGAGAATTCATTCTGGGAAATCAGGCTGTCTGTGTAAAGGTTACTGCTGTGCTCAGGAGTTGAACCGTGTGGTGCTGTATCCGGATACTCATGACGAATGGATGGAGGGCGTGAAAAGTGAGCCCAGCTGGTGCTCTGGGTCTACCCTACCTGACATCCTTCCAGTCTTATCCTTTGTTTCCTATCCAGGCCCAGGCTTGTGGCTGAGAACATCCACTTTCAGTCCCATATACCTGCCTCCAAGTGTGGTACAGAGAACTTGGGCCTGCTGGGGGCGCTTAGCCTTACTCTCTCCACCACCTCTCCCACCAACCCCCAGATGAACTGCAGGTAGACGTTTCTTCCTTGCTTGGAGCCCCAGTTTTTGCATTTCATTTTCATTAAAATGAAAGGTGGTTTGGTTTTGGTTCTAAGGAGCTCTACAGTTTAACAGAGAGAGGGACCTTAGGGGCCAAGAAAGCAGGGGCCTACCAAGTATCTCCACTTTTGAAAATTGTAATTACTGATAAAAAATTTTTTAAAGGCAGGTTTATTGAAGCATAATTTATAAACAATAAAATTTACTCTTTTTAGTGTATAGTTCTTTGGGCTTTGACAAAAACATACAATTGTGCCACTACCACATTCCAGACATTGAACATCTTCACCACCACCCAGAATTCCTTTGTGCTCTCTTGTGGTTAACCCCTCCTCAACCCCAGTCCGTGGAAACCACTGGTTTGTTTTCTATCCTCTATCCATCACCTCACCATTTCCAGAAATAGTGTGCAGCTGTTTGCACGTGGCTGCTTTTACTGAACATGATGCATTGGAGTCATCCATATTGCCTGTGTAGAGTGCTTTTTTGCACCGAGTAGCATTCCATTGTATGGATGGAGCCATTTGTTTATCCGTTCACCCATGGCAGGGTATTTGGGCATTTTCAGTATGGGCAACTATGATTAAAGCTGCCATCACTGTGTATCAACTACAGGCTGTTTTGTGAATCTAACTTTTCAGTTATCTTGGGTAAATAGGAGTGGGATTGCTGGGTCATATGGTAAGCTTATGTTTAACATTTTAAGAAACTGCCAAACTTTTACAAAGTCAGTTGTATATCCCCACTGATGATGTGTGAGTTTAGTTGCTTTGAATCCTCACCAGATCTTGGTATTGTCCTTTTTTTTTTTTTTTTTTTTCCGAGGCGGAGTTTTGCTCTTGTTGCCCAGGCTGGAGTGCAATGGCGCGATCACGGCTCACCACAACCTCCGCCTCCCGGGTTCAATTCAAACGGTTCTCCTGCCTCAGCCTCCTGAGAAGCTGGGATTAGAGGCATGCACCACCACGCCCGGCTAATTTTGTATTTTTAGTAGAGACGGGGTTTCTCTATGTTGGTCAGGCTGGTCTCCAACTCCCGACCTCAGGTGATCCACCCACCTCAGCCTCCCAAAGCGCTGGGATTACAGGCATAAGCCAACGTGCCCAGCAGTATTGTCCATTTTTTAATATTCTAGCTATTTTAGTGGAGATGTAGTGGTATCCATGGTTTTAATTTGCATTCTCCTATTGACCATGGTTTGATCAGTAAGCATCTATTTAAAGAGTTTCATTGGGAAGTTTGAATAACACTGTAGTAGTTTCTCAGAGTGTGATCACCTGTGAAATTCTGATCTTCAATTCTTTTTTTTTTTCTCCTTTTTTCTGAAACAAAGTCTCGCGTTGTCACCCAGGCTGGAGTGCAGTGGCACGATCTCAACTCACTGCAACCTCCGCCTCCCAGGTTCAAGCGATTCTTCTGCCTCAGCCTCCCGAGTAGCTGGGACTACAGACGCGTGCCACCACGCCCAGCTAATTTTTGTATTTTTCTTAGAGACGGGGTTTCACCATGTTGGCCAGGGTGGTCTCAAACTCCTGACCCCATAATCCGCCCTCCTCAGCCTCCCAAAGTGCTAGGATTACAGGTGTGAGCCACCACGCCCGGCCTCTGATTTTCAATTCTGAGACTCTACCTGCAAGAATCTTTTTTCTTTTCTTTTCTTTTCTTTTTTTTTTTTTGAGACGGAGTCTCATTCTGTCGCCCAGGCTGGAGTGCAATGGCGCAATCTCTACTCGCTGCAAGCTCCACCTCCTGGGTTCACACCATTCTCCTGCCTCAGCCTCCCAAGTAGCTGGGACTACAGGCGCCCGCCACCACGCCCAGCTAATTTTTTGTATTTTTTAGTAGAGACGGGGTTTCACTGTGTTAGCCAGGATGGTCTCAATCTCCTGACCTCGTTATCCGCCCGCCTCGGCCTCCCAAAGTGCTGGGATTACAGGCATGAACCACCGTGCCCGGCCAAGAATCTTTTTTCAAATCTACCTTTCATTCCCTCCAGGTCTAACTGAAATATTTCCCCCCTTCAAGGAGCCTACCTTAGTTAATCTCTCATTCCATCTTTGTTTTCTTTTTTTCTTTTGAGACAGTGTCTCACTCTTATCACCCAGGCTGGAGTGCAGTGAAGCGATCACAGGTCACTGCAGCCTTGACTTCCTGGGCTCAAGCAACCCTCCGACCTCAGCTCCCAAGTAGCTGGGACTACAGGCACACACCACCATACCCAGATAATTTTTTAATTTTTTGTAAAGATGGTGTCACACCATGTTGCCCAGGCTGGTCTTGAACTCTTGGAGTCAAGCGATCCACCCACCTTGCCCTTCCAAAGTGCAGGTCTTACAGGCGTGAGCCACGGCGCCTGGCCTTACTGTTTTCTTAGGGAATTTGGGGTCACCGCTACATTTGGTTTAACATCCATTCTGTGATTTGCTGCGCTTATTCCCCCGCTCAGGTTCTGTCTCCCCCACTTTATTATTAAAATTCTTATCACAGAACCTCTTCCAAGTGTGGGAATTGCCAGCCTTAGTGTGGTCCATGTGGAATGGTCCACACAAAAGAGGGAGTGGATAGCACAGGCTCACCTGGAGGGTCCTGTCTCCCTCTGAAATGGATTCACTCTGACCTCAGGGAAAACACTGAATCTTCTTGGGTCTCTTTTTCTCCAGCTCTAAAATGGGGGAAAAAAACACCTCCCCCACGTCTAAAAAATAACTCTTTTACCCTTGTATCCCACAGCACAACATTCATATCCCCACCATTTCAACTTACATTTTCCTTTCTACCTCGTTACCCTACATTATACGGAGAACTCTCTGCTGTCAGAGATGTTGTCTTATGCACCTTTTTATCTCCAGCACACGATACAGAACAGGTGCTTAGGATGTACTTGGGAAGGAAGGAAGAGAGGTGAAGGAGGCAGAGAAAGGAAACAGTGCCAAGAATGTGCTTTGCGTAAATGTGAACCTTGTGTTCTGCTTCTGCTCTGTCCATGAGCACACTGGGTACATTAAAATTGTTTTCTCCTTCTGATCTACTGGAAAGGTCCCACAATGATGCCTCCCTTAAGAGGCCCACAGGCCTCACATTTACGTAGAATGGAAGGAAGCACCGGGGCATGGGAGGGCTTGTGGGTGGCTCTAAGGGCTGTTGTGACACGTACTTGCTGTGGACCCTGGGACTGAGGATGTTAGTAGGACAATGCATGGTTAAGCACCAAGAGAGCAAGGGAACACCTCAGGGGTAAAAATGAAGACCGAAATGAAAGTCAGAGCTTCCCACCTGGAAACTGATGCTAGGACAGCTCTGGGGCTCGTTTACAGCCCCCATGAAGACAGGCCTGGGTGGCTTGAGGGTGATGGTTGGAACCTGGGCCCCTGTCTAAAGCTGGAACCCCAAAGGGTTGAACCCCCTGTATAAAGACAGACTAGGAAAAAAATCCACCTGCGCATAAGGAGATGCTGGGCAGTCTCTACAAGTTTAGGAGATGGAGATGGAGCTGGAGTCCTGGGAGTCCAAGGTGACTAGAAGTCAAAGGAGCAGAAGAAAACTAACACAACAGAAGTAAATATACTCAAGCAAGCATCTGGAGATACTAAAAACATCTAGAATCAGATATTTTAAAACTAAAAAGTGTCTCATCCTATATTCTGTACCCCCAAAAAGAAACAGGAAGAAATACAGGAAGATATGGAACATAGGAAATTATAGACAAAATGACTCTTTCAAGCCTACTTCTAAATGGTTCAGAAAAAAGTGAAAGAGAAATAATATGGCAACGGTTAAGAACTGGTGAGTCTGAGTTAAGGTTATTTGGGAGTTCTCTGCATTATTGCAACTCTTCAAGTTTAAAATTATTTCAAAATAAAAAGCTCAGGGAGGCCGGGCGTGGTGGCTCATGCCTGTAATCCCAGCACTTTGGGAGGCCAAGGCGGGTGGATGATGAGGTCAGGAGATCGAGACCATCCTGGCTAACATGATGAAACCCCGTCTCTACTAAAAATACAAAAAATTAGCTGGGCATGGTGGTGGGCGCCTGTAGTCCCAGCTACTCGGGAGGCTGAGGCAGGAGAATGGCGTGAACCCGGGAGGCGGAGCTTGCAGTGAGCCGAGATCGCGCCACCGTACTGCAGCCTGGGCGACAGAGCGAGACTCCGTCTCAAAAAAAAAAAAAAAAAGCTCAGGGAGATGTTGATCAAAGGGTACCAAATTTCCTTTGTGTCCTTTGGAGGAAGTAAATAGGAAGAATAAGTTCAAGAAATCTACTGTACAACATGGTGACTATCGTTATTAACAATGTATTGTACTCTTCAAAACTGCCTAGAGTAGCTTTTTTCTCACCACAAAAAAGTATGTGAGGATGCATATGCTATTTAGCTCCATTTAGCCATTTCACAATGTACACATATTTCAAAACATGTCCATGATAAATATATACTTCTTTTGTCAGGTTCATAATTAAATAAAAACTTTAAGAAAGCTTAAGGCCAGGCATGGTGGCTCACGCCTGTAAACTCAGCACTTTGGGAGGCTGAGGGGGGCGGATCACCTGAGGTCAGGAGTTCAAGACCAGCCTGGCCAACATGGCAAAACCCCATCGCTACTAAAAATACTGTCCTTCAACTTCTATTACTTAGAGCTTAAAAAGAATCAGCCTATTACTAAGTCCAGTCTTCATTAATTTATAAACTTTTGTCAAGTAATCTATTGTACTTTCATAATTATAAATCAAAAATTAGTCTGGGCATAGTGGCTTACAATCCCAGCACTTTGGGAAGCTGAGGCAGGAGGATTGCTTGAAGCCAGAGTTTGAGACCAGTCTCGGCAACATAGTGAGACTCTGTCCCTACAAAAAACACAAAAGTTAGCCAGTCATGGTGGCTTGAGCTTGTGGTCCCAGCTACTTGAAGACTGAGGTGAGAGGATTACTTGAGCCCAGAAGTCTGAGGCTGCAGTGAGCTATGATGGCACCACTGCACTCCTGCCTGGGTGACTATGCAAGACCCTGCCTCTTAAAAAAAAAAAAAAAAATTAATATACTAAGAAGTTAAATGTTCAACTTAAGAAGTTAGACAAAGAATATTAGAGTAAACCTAAAGAAAGAAGTAGTAATGGGAAAATGAACATTTTAAAAAAGGAAACAATAAAGTCAATGAAGAAAACCAAAAGCAGGTTATTTGAAAGAGATACCAAAAGCACAAATGACAAAATAAAAAGAGAAATATTGACCTCATCAAAATTAAGAACTTTTGTGCTGCAAATGATACCATCAAGAAAGTGAGCTGGGCATGGTGGCTCACACCTGTAATCCCAGCACTTTGGGAGGCCAAGGCGGGCAGATCACGAGGTCAGGAGTTCAAGACCAGCCTGGCCAATGTGGTGAAACCTTGTCTCTACTAAAAATACAAAAATTAGCCAGGTGTGGTGGTGGGCGCCTGTAATCCCTGCTACTCAGGAGGCCAAGGCAGATTTGCTTGAACCCAGAAGGCGGAAGTTGCAGTGAGCCGAGGTCATGCCATTGCACTCCAGCCTGGGCAACAGAGCCAGACTCCGACTCAAAAAAAAAAAGAAAGTGAAACGACAGCCAGGCGTGGTGGCTCACGCCTGTAATCCCAGCACTTGGGGAGGCTGAGGCGGGTGGATCATTTTAGGTCAGGAGTTCGAGACCAGCCTGCCCAACATGCTGAAACCCCATCTCTACTAAAAGTACAAAAACTGGCCGGGCTCACTGGCTTACGCCTGTAATCCCAGCACTTTGAGAGGCCGAGGTGGACGGATCACGAAGTCAGGAGTTTGAGACCAGCCTGGCCAACATGGTGAAACCCTGTCTCTACTAAAAATACAAAAATTAGCTGGTGTGGTGGCGAGTGCCTGTAATCCCAGCTACTCGGGAGGCTGAGGCAGGAGAATCGCTTGAACCCAGGAGGCGGAGGTTGTGGTGAGCCGAGATCGCACCATTCCACTCCAGCCTGGACGACAGAGCGAGGCTCCGTCTCACAAAAAAAAAAAAAAAAAAAAAAAGTACAAAAACCATCCAGGCACGGTGGCGCACGTCTGTAATCCCAGCCACTCGGGAGGCTGAGGCAGGCGAATGGAGTGAACCCGGGAGGCGGAGCTTGCAGTGAGCGCAGATGGCGCGCCATTGCACTCCAGCCTGGGCGACAGAGTGAGACTCCGTCTCAAAAAACAAACAACTGAAAAAGACAACCCACGGTAGGTGAAAATATCTGCAAACCATCTATCTGCTAAAGAACTTGTATCCAGAACAGAGAAACAACTCTTACAACTCAATAAAAAGACAAGTAGTTTTTAAATGGGCAAAAGATTTGAATAGATATTTCTTCAAAGATACACAAATGGCCATTAAGCATGTGAGGTGATGCTTAACATCATTACTTATCAAGGAAATACAAATCAAAACCACAAAGCGACACCACTTCACACCCACCAGCTATGACTATGATTTTTTAAAAAAAGGCCAATAACAAGTGTTGATAAGGATGTGGAGAAACTGTCATGTATGGCTGTATGGATGAACAGATACAGAATGGGAAGGTACAATGAGGCAGCTGCTTTGGAAAACAGTTTGGCGACCCCTCAAGAAGGTAAACCTGGAGAAATTCTCAGATTCAGACTCAGGCTTTCTTCCGGCACTTCCTGAGGCCACGCACGCGTCCTTTGGGCCCTTCACCACCTTCCTGCACCCAGTTCCTTGTGGCCCCTGCTTCTCTGGGTCGAGGGCCGCCGCTGCTCACCTCTTCCTGGAACAGTCCTAAAGCCGCTGAGGCAGAAAAGGCCCAGCTCCCTCCACCCCGACGGGAGGGATCCGCGCTGAGGTCCGATCCGAACATGTTCCAGACCCCCCTGCAGGACTGGACCCGGTCACCCCGCGGCCTCTGCACGACGCTCACCCGGGCTGGCCTCCTCTTCTTCCCAGTCCTCACTGGCCGAGCCTGCGCCTCCCAATAAGCCAAGAATACAGGAAGCCTCACCTCAGGGTCTGCTTCTGGGGACCCCACCCCGACGCGAATGGCCGGCATTGCAAGTTCTAAGGCGTTTTGACAAACCGTGCTTTAACCTCCACAGCAGGAAGTCCCGCGGAAACTCCGCGCGGCCCCCGCTCTCCGGCAGGTCAGGGCAGAGCGCGACTTCTGGGGGTCAGGCGCTTCCGGCGGATTTTGAAACGGGGGCTACAGCTTCCGGAACCCCAGGTTTAAGGCGCCGAAGAATCTAGGGCCGCAAGAAACCTATGGTCAGACGGCAGCTCCCACCCCGCGGAAAACGCACGCTCTGAAAACGTGGCTGACGCGATGACGCCAGGTTTTCCCTCAGAAACGTTTCTCTTTGATCTTTCCGACCCATTTAGGGGATGTTTGAGGCAAAGGATTTCTCGCCCTCTACCCTCTCGAGGCACTCGGCCAGAAATGAGGTGGAAAGCACTGGAAGAGGCGCGCGCCAGGGGCTCCGGCGGGGACCCCTCACAAGCCACTCTCGGCGTCGCCCCGCGGACTCATTAGCGACATCCCCGGTGGGCGCCTCGCGTTCCCGCCGTAGAGGAACGATCAGCGAGGCAAGGAAACGCCTGGCTGGGGCAGCGGGGACGTGGCCCCTCCCCACGCTTTTGTCTTAACCACCCCCTCGGGCGCAATTCGCCGGCCACGCGGCAATGCGGACGCCCAGACTCGGGCGCGGGGTGCAGCGGCCCTCCCCCACCGCTCCGGGACTGCGAGCGCTTCTGGGCACGGCCCCGCCACACGCCGCCACCATTGCGCCCACTGCCACTTCTAGGGGCTCCTCCGACGGTCAGGGATGTGCTGAGGCAACGCCGGGCGGGCAGCAGGGGCGAGTCCGCGCTTCCCTGGAGCCGAAAGGAGCACTGCGGCCGGTGACCCCGGGCGGAAACCTGTTGGGAGCGCACCGGAAGTAGCCGTCCACAGAGGTCTGCGCACCTGCTCTCGGTCTGCTCTGAGACACCCGGATGACCGCCCACTCGGTGGTTCAACGGTCCCCGACAGGAGCTCCGGGTCCGGGCAAGGAAGGGGCCAGTTGGGCTCTTAGTGTGAAGCGACTGTGGGACATCCTGGTGAAGACAGGACCTAAAGCCGGCAGATGCTGCTGTGATGTAGATGCAAATTGGGGCGTCTTGATGGTCAGTGATGCCACTGAGCTCGCGAGGTCGCCCAGAGACAGTGTTGAGTGAGAAGCGGCCCTGGTGCCCCTGGGGCTGTTGAAGAGGGAAGAGGCGCCCTGGGCATGGAGACCGCTGGGGCGGCCCTGGATGGGAGGGGAGGGACCCAGGGGCCAGTTGCCACAGAGTCCCTCATGGAACTAGGCCCCTGAGACCTCAGTGTTGCTCAGGACTGTTGAGTTCCTTGGAGAATGAGAACTAAGGACCGAAGGTAGGAAAAATAACTTGACTTCTCTGTAGGAAAAATAGGTATCTCGGGAATGTTTCCAGGTGGCTGTGGTTGATGATATCCACAGCAGGAGCCCGGAAGCAACATGTCAGAACCTTAGTCTTTTCACCCATTTGGGGAAAAAGTTATCTCCTGGTCACAAAGATAAAGTTGCCTTTGACCATTAGCCTACTAAAGTCCACTGTGGTGGTAATGAGAGGTGAAGCCAGCTGGACTTCCTGGGTCGAGTGGGGACTCAGAGAACGTTTCTGTCTTACAAGGAGATTGTAAAATGCACTAATCAGCACTCTGTAGCTAGCTAGAGGTTTGTAAAATGCACCAGTCAGTGCTCTGTAGAGCTAGCTAGAGGTTTGTAAAATGGACCAATCAGCACTCTGTAAAATGGACCAATCAGCAGGACATGAGCAGGGACAAATAAGGGAATAAAAGCTGACCACCCTCCAGCCAGCAGGGACAACCCGTTCGGATCTTCTTCCATGCTGTGGAAGCTTTGTTCTTTCGCGCTTCACAATAAATGTTGCTGCTACTCACTCTGGGTCCGTGCCATCTTTAAGAGCTGTAACACTCACTGTGAAGGTTGGTGGCTCCATTTTTGAAGTCAGTGAGACCACGAACCAACTGGAAGGAACCAACTCCAGACACAGTAACAGTAGCTGCCATTCATGGAGCACCTGCTATGTGCCAGGTGGTGCCAAGTGCTCTGCGTGTGCCAGGTAAGGATTGACATCACCATTTCACAGGTAAGAAAGCTGAGGTTGAACAAATTGTCTATGATCCAGATCCATCTGTCCCACTCCAAAACCCTCTTTTTACTCCCCCCAGGCTCTCACATTCGATGTGGCTGGCCATCATAGGGACAGACAAGAGACTGTCTTTAAATGTGTTACTGAATAATTTGGGAGTCGTTCTAAACTTCCATCAAGTCTAAATTTATTGTCCCAAAGGGCATAGAATGAGATTTTAATTTCATGAGCAGAAACCTAATCATTCATTAGAGAAACACAGAGGAAACTAACATTCAGCTTGGACTCTAAGCCTTAGAGGAAAGAAAATGGAAAGACAAAGAGCCAGAAATGTACAGATACTGTCCAGGCACTGTCCACTCCCCATGTTCTGGTTTCTGTTCCTCCAGCTTCCCTCAAGACCTATGCACAAACGGAGGTACAATCCCAGTGGCAACACCAGGGTTGCTAACAACTTTCGGGCAGATGTTAAGAATCTAGCCTCTAGCAGGGCTCAATCTGTGCCCTGACTTTCTGGTCTTCTATGTCCACTTCCTGGAGTGTAGGGATCATCTCAGTATGAGGGAAGAATCAGGTATCAGAGCCTGCAGAGCCACAGTCCAGACTCTGGGCAGGTGAGTTTGCCTCTCAGTAATCTCCCTGCTGATCTCCCCAGTACAAGTGCGCTATGGCCCAGGTCCTTGACCACAGCATTCAGCCACAAACTGTGTGGGTTCTTTTTTTTTTTTTTTTTAAACCATAAAATCTCATGTGAAGGAAAAGGAGCCATGAGGGTAATCAAGAAGCCAGTTTACAGTCTGAGGAACAGGGCAGCATACCTATGACACCCCTGGATGACAGGTGAGGAGAAGAGCCATGCACAACATGGAGCACAGTAACTTCGTGGGCACAGGGAGCTGCCAGGTGCTTTGCAGTCCACGTACCCAGATGGCCTTGAAGAGGAATTCTGAAACCCTCCTGGTTCAAAATATCCTACAGCTCCCATGTCTCCAGGACTGAACACACTCCCCAGCAGGGCCTGCAAGGCCAGGCTCTGCAGGATCCCAGTCCTTCCCGGGTCCTCACACTCCCAACTCCACGGCATCTGAGAGTATCAGCCTCTTCCCAGCTCATCTGTGTTCCTTCTGCCATCATCTTGTCAATCCTTCAAGGCCCAGTTCTATCCCTTCATCCAAACCTTCCTCATCCCTCTTCCCCAATCAACCCTTCCCTTCACTGCAAGTCCTGTGGCACTTACGACCTTGGCAAGTGTCACCTGGCATCCAACGGTGTGCACAACAGGACAAGTGGAAGTGAGTGAGCCAGACACAAATCAGTGATGCACAAAAGCACCTGTTGGTGACAACAGCTGCTGTGGCTCCCCTTTTATGAATGTAAGGTCCGTTTTCCCTGAAAGGAGTACAGAATTGTAGACAAGACTCAAGAGTCTACCCTCCCCTCCCTTTTGAAAACAATTTTTAATTAGCGACCAGGTGGTCTCTATCACCCAGACTGGAGTTCAGTGGGGCAGTCACGGCTCACTGTAGTCTCAAACTTCTGGCCTCAAGCGATCCTCCTGCCTCAGCCTCCCAAGTATCTGGAACTACATGTGCAGGCCACCACACCTGACTAATTTGTAATTTTTCTTTTTTTTTTTGTAGAGACAGGGTCTCACTTTGTAGTCTAGTCTTGAACTCCTGGCCTCAAGTGATCCTCCTGCCTCAGCCTCCCAAAGTGTTGGGATTACAGGCGTAAGCCACTGCACCCAGCCCCTCTCTTCTTTTTAACACATATAAGGCAACAGCTTGCTTCTTATACCCAGGACTGGGGTTGGAACCCTGGAAGATTATGTGGGCTTGGTTGCTCTTCTCTGCACCTCAGGCCTTGGAAGACAGAGGGTCATTCCTGGCTCAGATTGTGCCATTGCCTGATGACGAAGGAGGGGCAGATGGATGCATTTCATAGCTGTGTTCCTCTCCAAGCTTTCCTCCTTTCTCCTCAGATTGCGCCTAGAGGAAAAATCTAACCAGAAACTTTTTTTTTTTTTTGAGACAAGAGTTTCACTCCGTCACCCAGGCTGGAGTGCAGTGGTGTGATCTCAGCTCACTGCAACCTCTGCCTCCTGGGTTCAACCAATTCTCTTGACTCACTGGAGTAGCTGGGATTACAGGCGTGCACCACCATGCCTGGCTAATTTTTGTATTTTTAGTAGAAACAGAGTTTCTCCATGTTGGCCAGGCTGTTCTCAAGTGATCCACCTGCCTTGGCCTCCAAAAGTGCTGGGATTATAGGCATAAGCCACTGCACCCAGTCAGTCAGAAACTTTTCAACAGCTATTTTGTATAAACAACAAACTATTCAGTTAAATCTATGATTTGTAGTTCACAAAATCAATTGCTCTTACCATCAATGGCTTTATAATCCTTTATTTTCTGTTTCTACTTTAATGACCTTATTGTATGCATCACTATTTCAATTCAAATTACCTTTAGGAGGTATGAACTAGATATAAGTAATCTTTAACACACATATTTTTAGGACAGAGGCTCGCTCTGTTGCCCAGGACAGAGTACAGTAGTGAAATCATGGCTCACTCCAGCCTCAACCTCCTGGGTTCAAATGATCCTCCCACCATGCCTAGCTAATTTTATTTATTTGTAGAGATGGGGTCTCACCATGTTGCCAGGCTGGTCTCAAAAGTCCTGGCCTCGAGTGATCCATCTTGGTCTCTCAGAGTGCTGGGATTACAAGCATAAGCCACTGTGCCCAGCCTTGATTTCATTTCATAGTGAAAACTTCATTCTAAAGTCAAGGATTTTATCCTAAGCTGCTGAAGGATTATGTTAAAATAATGTTATGTTTTCAGTATAGCCAGTAGCCACAACGGATTGCCTTCTGATTAAAAGACAGATCCTACATGTTGGTGCGGCTGACACTCATTCTACATGCTTTCAGATTTAAAAAACTTAGTGCAGAGGTGTAGGAAGCTGCCTCAGCTATTCTGTTTGGTTTCACGAAGACCTGGAGTCATTGCTCATCATTGTTCAGGATAAAAAGGCAGCTCTGGAGACCCAACACTAACTCTAGTAGTTTTCCATTTTCCTGTGCATCCACTTTGGGGGTTGCATTTATCTGCCTCTCTCTGGGTCTGGTCTCTGCTTCTGGTTTCTGCATATTTGAGATCAGGCCACGCCATGGACCACTGGCCTCCCCTAGCATTTCCAGTGGCATTCCCAGCCAGGAATAAGGCTGTCTTTGTCTCCATCTTACAATCCCAGTCTAAAGCAAGATTCCCTACAGAGCATGGCCACCCTGGGGCAAGCACCTGCTAGGGCAGTTTATTCAAAAGGGAGCAGCTGGCAATAGCAGGAACCCACATTTCCACCTACTTCCCACAGTACACCAAAGCCTCTCATATCCATTATATCCTCTATGAATTATCTCATTGTAAATAATATGTGAGTTCCAAATAAATGCTTTTTCAACATTCATTACATCCATAGGGGTTCTCTCCAACAGGAACTCTCTGACATTATATAATGAGCTACAATGAAAGTCTTCCCACCTTTGTTGCATTCTTGGATGCTCTTCTCTCCTGTATGAATTGAGGGGTTCCTCTCCAGTAGAATTTGTGAGATAGTGACTGAGAAGCTAGCTCACACTGAAAGCCTGCCCACATTCCTTTAACTTATACTTCCTATCCATAATGTGAACAACCTAATGTCTAATAAGGGTTGAGCTCTGGCTGAAGCATTTCCCACATACACTACATGCATGTGGCTTCTCTACAGAATGTGTTCTGTGGCAATGAATCAAGTGTGACATCTGAATAAAGCCTCTCCCACATGACACACACATAAGTTTTCTCTCCAGTGTGTATTCTTTGATGATCAATCAGGTGTGATGTTTGAAGCCCCTTCCACACTCACTGCATTTGTAGGGCTTCTCTCAAGCATGCTTCCTTTGATTATGAATCACGTGTGATGGCTGACTGAAGCTTTTTCCACACTCTTGACATTCAAAAAGTTTCTCTCCTGTATGAATTCTCTGATATTGCATGGGATTTGCTTTCGGATTAAAGGCTTTCCCGCACTCAATACATTTATAGGGCTTCTCTCCAGTATGTATCAGTTGGTGTTTAATAAGGTTTGAATTCCCACTAAAGGCTTTGTCACATTCATCCCACCTATAGGGCTTTTCTCCAGTATGAATTCTCTGATGTTTAACAAGCTTTGATGTCTCCCTAAAGCCCTTACCACATTCACTACACACACAGGGTTTTTCTCCACCATGAATTTTCTTTTCTTTTCTTTTCTTTTGAGATGGAGTCTCACTCTGTCGCCCAGGCTGGAGTGCAGTGCCGCAATCTCAGCTCAATGCAACCTCCGCCTCCCTGGTTCAAGCAATTCTTCTGCCTCAGCCTCCTGAGTAGCCAGGATTACCAGCATACACCACCACACCCAGATAATTTTTGTGTTTTTAGTAGAGATAGGGTTTCACCATCCATGGTGAATTTTCTGATGATGTATAAGGCTTGAGTTGTGTTTTTTTCCCCACATTCAATACATACACAGGGCTTCTCTGTAGTATGAATTATCTGATGCCAAGTAAGGTGTGAGTTCTTGCTGAAAGACTTCCCATACACATGGCATCCATGGGGCTTTGTCCCACTGGTAACTGCCCGATGTCCACTCAGATATGACTCACATGGAAAGCCTCAGCCACCCATCCTCCATCCACTGGCTCTCTTTCCTGGCCTGTCCCTCAGAGGTACAACAGGCTTTGTGCCCAGAGACAAACTTTTCTCCAATTTATTACATTCCCGGTATTTGTCTGCTACAATGATTTTCAACGGGGAGCTGACCACTTGCCTCGAACCTCTCTTTTGGGGAAATAACTTCATCCTGGTCTGTATTGTGAATTTCTTCCAGCAATGTTCTGCTCCTGTCTCAGTCCTACAAGCTGATCGAAACTCAAACTCTTCTGGATTGCCTCTTGGGAAAATTTCCTGAGTTACTTCTTGTAATTGTTCTTCGGAAGATTTTTCTGTTGGCGTTGATTGTTTATGCTTTGTTTTGACCTAGGAATCTGAAACAAAGAATGGAAATTAAAAGTTTCCCTGTGAAAGAAGGAATTGATTGAGCCAAAGCAAATTTCCGTGCAGCTCATATGTCTCAGCCTGAGTTGAGTTTTATTTTCCCTTCTGTTAATCACTTTATTCCATTTTGTCTTGTATCATGCTTAGTTGTGTGTGTCCATCTCACTCTGACTGGACTGAAATTCTGAGGGCAAATGCCTTCTCACACAAGTACTTGCGGCACCTTAATGGCGCAGTGCACAAAGCAGGAACTGACAACTAAAGAACGAGGGATTCATTCCAGCAGTGTTTGCCAGGTGCCTCCTGGGTGCCTGGCACTGCTTGAGGTACCAGGGAATTGGTGAATGAATGAAGTCCCCTGTCCCTTAACTTTCTAATGTGGAGACCGACAATGTGATAGGACATCAGGCAGGATAAATAATTCTTCCACAAACTACGATGTTCTCCACAAACCAAAATGTACACTCCCTGAAGACAAGGACTTGGTTTTGCTTATACTTAACCCCAGCACCTAGAAGAATGCCTGCATGCAAGCAGCATGCAAACTGTGGAAATAGGAGAGGGTGCTGGGGGCATGCTCCCGTGTGACCACAATGTGGAGTTTTGTTTGTACTTTGACATGTAAGTGCAAATCAGCTCATCGGAAGGCTGGTCACCACTAGAAAATGGCTGTCCCACCTGAGTAGCTGCACAGTGGACTTGCACTTCCCCTCAGAGGGAAGGTGGGGCCAGGACGGGAGCCAGAATAGACAATCAGGGGTCTCTCAGCTGGCCATTTGAACTCCCCCCTCACCACTCTCACAGCTCACATGCACAACACATCACAGTTCCCCTGAGATACCCACCTCCTCACTCACCTGTGCAGGGAGGCCCTGGCAGAGCAATGACCCATGGCATTTTCCCCTGCTCCTGCTGGGAGATAACCCTGAGTGTGGACACTGAAAAACCTGTCTATCAAGAAGATAATGGTCAGTGCTAGAATATCTGAGCTGCCCCTGGCTGAGGGCCACAGAGGCTGCAAGAGGAGGGGGATCCAGAGGAGGTCTCGAGAAGAAAGAATGGGTGATGAGATCACTGGGCACTCCCTGCTGGGACACGAGCACCCCAGCATGGACTGGGGATATTTGGTCTATGAGTCAAGAGAGCCCAGGGGACCAGTCACCTGGGGATGGGGAGCAGGGACCTGAAGCCCACCATGTGATGCTTATCCAGAGCTGGTAGGGTGCAGTGGTTCTCGAGCATCACATCCTGGTAGAGTGCTCTCTGAGGGGGTCCCAGGTGCTGCCCCTCCTCCTGTGTGAGGTACATGGCCACCTCCTCAAACATCACTGTGCCCTGGAATCACAGGTGCTCACTGCCCAGAGAGCCTCACCCCTGCCCAAGGGCAAATGCACCTTGCAGCTTGGACTGAGTTTCTAGCAAGAGGCTCTACGTGCATCTCCCTACCTTCCAGGCAGATGTTTAGGAAAAGAGCTAGGGGTAGGTTGGGCAGGGAAGGTGTGACTATGGAAACACAGAGCTCTCAAAACTGGGCTCTCCCCTTAGGGCCCTGCATCCTGCTCAGCTCTGTGGAAGGGGCAGCTAGTGGGGTGGGCCTGGATCTGAGGAGGGAGATTCTGTTCTCAGGGCCCCAAGGGTCTGCTGGGCAAGGGGCTCCAGGCTGAGGGGGAGAGGCCTTGGGCAGCAACTGTTCCCCAAAGGCCAGCTCACCTGGGGCTCAGCCACCATCGCTGGGCTCCTCCTGGGAAGGATAGAGGCAGGGTGTCAAAAGGAAGACACAAAAGGGCAAGCCCATGCCCCGCAGACCTGACTGCTGCAGCGGCCCCAGGTAACAAGCTGTCTTAGGAGCTGGTGACCCTGCATTTCCTTCAGCATGAAGGGCACCTGTGCCCAAGACCTTCTCACCTGGGCTTAGTGCTGCTGCAGAGCCCTTGAATTCAGGTTCAAGGGTGATGCTGTGCCTCTGCTGCTTGGAGTCTGGAGGATGTGACCTGACCCTGACCCTGCCTGGCAACACCTCCCACTGGTACCCTCTCCCACCCCCGGAGTTTGGGTCCACTGTGGGCTCCCTCGGGTCTCCAGCTTGCCCTCCTCCCTAGAGCACCTCAAATCAATGCCTTGTGGGGGCGAGGCATGTTCAAGAGGGGCTGGAGTCATGCTGGAGGGGTGTGCATCCTCAGAGTTTCCTGCAGGAGGACCTATAGTTTGGGCCTGGAGAAAACCCTTTTGGTAGAGCTGGCAGCAGGCCCCAGGCTGGGAATGGCAGGGGGTGAGGGCTCACCCCTCCACCTGCTCCCCTCCTCCCCAGCCGCCCCCACCCCTGCCTGAGGCCAGGGCGCCTCCCTCCCCCAATCACTACCCTGGTCCTTGGTCTCTCAGTCTCTGCCGGCCCCTGGCTCAGCCCGCTCTGACTGGGGTTTGTAAACTGGCTTCCTCACCAGGCCTCTGGCCCACAGCCCTGTCCATCTTGAGGCCTCAGCTCTGCAGCCTCCCTGCACCCCCTCGAAAGAGGCCACCACAAAAGAAGCCACCATGGCATCATGGTTGCAGGTGGAGGGGCACGGCCTGAGCTGGACCCTGGAAAGGTGGTCAGCAGGGGTCTCTCCCCAGCAGCTGGGCCCAGGGGGTTGGGGGCAAGCCATAATTGGCTGCATGTCACCTCAACCACCTCTGCCTCATGGACAGCAGAGACCACGACTCCACCCACTGGGGCATGAAGGGCAGGGAGTGTTAATCTGTGTGGGCTCCATGTTACACCTAGAACATGGGGTATAACACAGATAGATGGCCACACATGGTCACAAGTCAGTGTCCTAAAGAGAAACAAAAAGCAGGGAAGCTATTCCAGATTAAAACAGCCAGCGAGGTGCGGTGGCTTAGGCCTGTAATCCTAGCACTTTGGGAGGCCAAGGCAGGCAGATCCTTTGAGTCCAGGAGTTTGAGACTAGCCTGGGTAACATGGTAAGACTTGGTCTCTATAAAAAAATACAAAAAATTAGCCAGGCGTGGTGGCACATTCCTGTAGTTCCAGCTACTCGGGAGGCTGAGGTGGGAGGATCACCTAAGCCTGGGAGGATGAGGATGCAATGAGCCATGATGGCGCCACTGCACTCCAGCCTTGGGGACAGAGTGAGACCTTGTTTCCAAAAAAAAAAAAAAAAAAAAAAAAAAAAGGCCGGGCTCACGCCTGTAATCCCAGCACTTGGGGAGGCCAAGGCAGGCAGATCACGAGGTCAGGAGATCGAGCGTCCTGGCTAACACGGTGAAACCCCGTCTCTACTAAAAATACAAAAAATTAGCTGGGCATGGTGGCAGGCGCCTGTAGTCCCAGCTACTCGGGAGGCTGAGGCAGGAGAATGGCTTGAACCCAGGAGAAGGAGCTTGCGGTGAGCCGAGATCACGCCACTGCACTCCAGCCTGGGCGACAGAGCGAGACTCTGTCTCAAAAAAAAAAAAAAAAAAAACAGCCTGAAGAGACACAATTAAATGCAACATGCAATCTTGATTAGCTTCTGAATTAGAGGGGAAAAACCCAGCTATGCAGACATTTTAGAGACAATTGGAGAAATAAGTTATGTGACCACAGGATTTTTGCTTTTGTTTGTTTTTTTGAGACGGAGTCTCACTCTGTCGCCAGGCTGGAGTGCAGTGGCACGATCTTGGCTCACCACCACCTCTGCCTCCTGAGTTCAAGTGATTTTCCTGCCTCAGCCTCCCAAGTAGCTGGGACTACAGGTGCATGCCAACACACCCAGCTAATTTTTGTATTTTTAGTAGAGATGGGGTTTCACCATGTTGGCCAGGATGGTCTCGATCTCTTGACCTCGTGATCCACCCACCTCAGCCTCCCAAAGTGCTAAGATTACAGGCATGAGCCACCGTGCCCGGGGACCACGGGATAATTGTTAATTTTCTCAGGTGAAATAAAGTATTGCTATCATGTAAGAAAATGTCCTCATCTCTAGGAAATAGGCTGAGGTACCTAAGGGAAAGTGTCATGATGTCTACAAATTACAGCTGACCCTGAAACAACACAGGTTTGAACTGCAAGGGTCAGTTATAATTGGATTTTCTTCCAACTCAGTCACCCCTGAGATTGCAAGACCAATCCTCCTCTTCCTCCTCTTCCTCAGACTACTCAATGTGAAGACAATGAGGATGAAGACTTTTATGATGATCCACTTTCACTTAATGAATATTAAATATATTATGTCTTCCTTATGATTTTCTGAACACCATTTTCTTTTCTCTAGCTTATCTAAAGAATAGAGTATATAATACATATAACATAAAAAATGTGTTAATTGACTATGTTATGCGTAAGGCTTCCAGTCAACAGTAGGCTATTAGTAGTTAAATTTTAGGGGAGTTAAAAGTTATGCTTTGATTTTCAACTGCACAGGGGTCACTGCCCCAACCCCTTTATTATTCAAGGGTCAACGGTATTTTCAAATTACTTTTCAGCAGCAAAAAGTAAATATATTCAAAGATACAGCCAGTGTGGCAAAATGTCAACAACTATAGAATCTAAATGAAGAGTTTATGGTGTTCATAATACTTTTCTGTGGATTTGAACATTCTCAAAATTAAGAGCAGTGTGGAAAGTAAAAAGTTCCTCTTCAAAGTTTCTTCTTTAAATCAGAAATGTTATTGGTATTTTCTCTCAGAGCTAGTTCTATTCAAGCTTGTTATTTTATAGTGATAACTCTGTTATGCCTTATATAGCAAATGTAACAGAATAAGCATACCGTATGCCTGTATACTCTGACTTCAGTATTTGTGTTAGACATTTTCACAGACATGTAGTACATTCTGTGTCCTTGTACCTTAACCGAAATATTCGTGCTGGACGTGCCCAGACATGTCCCAGCTTGCAGCCTATGCCCCTTCCTTATTCAGAAATGTTATTACTGTTCTAAAGTCCTTTCGTAAGCAACTTCCTCTTTTCCTTTGTTCCTCATTGTCTTTACCTATTTAGAAAGTTTTAAATTGTTAACCAATTAAGTTCAGCCTAGAATGTGAGGTCCAACTCAGCCAACGGAGATAGGACACAGCAGTAGGGACCTCATGCGTTAGGGATACATATTCCTGTCTCCCTTTGTTCGGTGTACTCTCTTGGCAAGACTGCTGGCAAGCAGTACCATTTCTGCAGAAAGTAAAGTTGCCTTGCTGAGAGTACTTTTTGTCTAAATGCTGCCTCTTCCTTGCGACACCAGGGAATGAGCATTTATTTCTAACAAGCAGCAATGGAAGACATCACTCTGGCTTCTTGCAGAGGGCAGTCTGGAGGCAGGAGAGGACACGGGAGGAAACCTGTGGTCCAGGGCACAGGTTGGGGTCCAGTGGCCCTTTCCTATCTCAGTGCTCCACGTTTGCTAAGTCAGAGGTACCACCTGTCATCACCATCCCATGGCCATTCATGCTTGAGAGGAGAGTCCTGCACAGACAGAGCCAGGCTCTGCTCCACATTTCCCTCTTTATGCTATTCCCTGGCCCCCACCACCCCCAGCACGCTTCCGGCCCAAGAGCCGTGCAGGGACAGCAGGGCAGCTTCTAGATATCTTGTAGGGCATTGGACGTGAGAAGAAGAGCTGAGAGAGGAGCCCTGGGTGATCCTTGAGTGGAATCAATGAATGAACGAATGATTTCCTCTCACTTCCTCGAGTTTACTTCATATTGGTGGATTGTCTCAGGAAGACTCCAAAAGTGATTGCCACCACTCAGCTTTCTGGCAGTACAAGTGGGGAAAACGCAGGGCTGAGGATGAGGCCAGAGGTGGGAGTCTCGCTTGTCCCTTCCCAACTTTCACCAGACAAAATGGCGGACCCCGCCCAGAGACCACGCCCCTCACCTTAGAGGACACAGCTCCTAGACAACTCCCTTCATCCTGCACTAACCTCACCCCGAAACCACGTCATTCACCCTTCACATATCCTGCTCCAGGAACACTCCCCTCACCCTTCACAGACCCGCACCACCGGCAACATGGCTCTCACCCTTCACAGCCCCTCATGCCGGAAAAACTCTCCTCATCCTTCACAAACACCCCCACCCCAGGAACATGCCCCTCACCCTTCACAGACCCTCATTCGGGGAACAAGCTCCTCACCCTACACAGACCTGCCCCCCATGACCACACCCCTCACCCAACCCAGGGACCCCGCCCCTTGCCTTTATAGACTCCGACCCGCGACCGCACATCCTGCAGAGACCCGGCCTCGCCCCTGCATCCTTCGTAGATCCCGCCCTGTGACCACACCCCTCGCCCTTCATAGGCACTGGCCCGCGGCCGTGCACGCCCCGCTTTTATTGGCTCCGCTCCGTGACCACGCCCCCGCAACCTTGATAGACTCCACCCCCGAGGACCCTTCTCAGGAGCACAGTGACCCCGCCTCCACAGGGTCCGCTCCGCCACACTGACCCTTCCGTGTCGCTCGCGGGACCCCACCCCTGTCCGCCTGCTCCGGTGCCCATGGGGAAGCCTGGTGCCAGGGGTCACCAGTCAGTCCAATTCACCGCCCGACTGGTGGGACAAGGACAGGTCAGCGGGTCACAGGCCGGAAGTGAGACTCGCCCGGCCGCTCTGGGACGCGGGAAGACCGAGGCCTCGGTGGTTCCCCTCTCTCCCGCCTGGCTCCCTCAGGAGAAGGAGCGGCTAAGGTAGGACCCGACACCGCGGTCGTACCCGCCTTCTTTTCTGTCCCAGAGTACAGCCTGGGATCTCCAGGGGGGAGACTGAATGAGTGCTGTCGAGGACCGGCGAGAGTCTGGAACGTTCGCGCCTTCGTAGGAGAACGAGGAGGTGACGGACAGGGAACGGGGAGCGGCCGTTGGGTGGGACGCCTGAGACCCTCGGGAAATGGCCGGGTCGCCGACTGTTTGCACCACTGGCATCCTGCAGCACTGTGAGATACGGCCCCGTTTGTTCCCAGAATGTAAATCATCCCGCACAGAAAAGGATGCGATTCACGGAGAAAGAGTTCTGTCTCCTCTCTGGGCACAGCTCTCTCTTTCCTGGAAGACAGCGGCCCTGGACAGGCTGGGGGCCCCCGACAGGTTCTAGCCCGGAGGAAGGCGCTGTGACTGGGGGCTCCAGTGGAGACAGAGGACCTTGATGGATTTTATTCTTGTGAGAAGCCCGCTTTCCTACCCAAACCTCATGCCAGTTGGTGACGCGAAGTCAACTTGGGCACTGATCCAGCCCACCCAGCCCCGCATGGTCCGCAGACTGTCCCACCCTCCCGTCCCGTAGCCCACCAGCACCCCGCCCCGCCCTGCCGCCGAGCGCCCACACAGCCTCCCCTCCGTGCCCCCAGCCCACCAGCCCCCTAAGCCTCCCACAGCACCTTGCCCCACAGCGCCTCACGAGGCCTCGACCTCGGGTCCCTCAGCCCCACCGCCCCTGACAGCGCCAGGCCCCACCCCACAATACCCCACAGCCTCCCACCCCCGCCTCAAGGCCCCAACCTATGACCCTCCACATTGCCCCACCCACAGCACCCCCACACCGGCCCGCCCCAAGGTGCCCCACAGCACCCCACCCCACAGCTCCCCAGAGTGCCCCTTCCCATAGCCCCCCACACCACCCCGCCCCACAGCGCCCGCCCCAAGGCCCCGCCCCACTGCCCTGCCCCACCCATCCCCTACACCGCCCTCCCCTACAACACACCACCCCGCATCCTCCATAGCGCCCCCACCTTCAGTTCCCACACCACCCTGCCTCACAGCGCCCCTCACTGCCCCATCTCCCAGGGCTTACAGTCCCCACCCCCTGCATCGCCCAGCGCCTGAGAGGCTGGGCTCCGGGTACCTCCCAAGAGACAAGAGGTGTGTCCCACGCCCTGTGCAGTGAGAAGCCCTGGAACTCCAGGACCCTGCTTTTTTAGGCAGAATGCTATGGATGGGCCACTCCAAAGAGAAACGCGGCTGGGGCCTTCTCACTGGGGTTGCAGGCCGTGGGATGGTGTGAACACTCCATGTTTATTCACATCTTGGACCCCCCAACCCCCCCAAGGGAGGGGTGGCCTTGTCTTTGCAAGAAGGCTTCTGAGTCCTTAGAGGTGAAGCTGTGTCCTCATTCCACTCCCCACTGATACCCAAGCCAACAAGGAGATGCCCTGACCCACTCATGGCCAAGGACACTCATGGAAAAGGCCTTCGTCCTCTCAGTACAGACTGTGCCAGGCAGGCCAGGAAAAGCCAAGAAAATATGGATGGAACAGATAGGTTCCTAGCAAAATACTAAAGCTGAGCCAAAGTAGAAAACTTGAATTAACTAATTGCCAAAAAAAAAACAGATTAGAGAGGTGATTAAAAAGCTACCATTAAGAAAGCTCTAGATGGCTCCAGATCACAGCTGAGCTCTCACCAACCTTTAGAGATCAGATAATTTGAAAGTTAATTACAATCTTCCAAGCCACAGAAAAAGATTAAAAACCTCAATTCACTTTACGAAGCCTTCTGTCTGTAAGCTTGTCTAAGTCTATGTTGCTATAAAGGGAATACCTGAGACTGGGTAATATAAAGAAAGGAGGTTTATTTGGCTCACAGTTCTGCAGGCTGTGCAGGAAGCATGGCACCAGTATCTACTGGTGAGGCCTCAGGCTGCTTTCACTTATGGTGGAAGATGAAGGGGAGCTGGTGTGCAGAGATCACACAGCAAGAGAAAAGGCAAGAAAGAGAGTGGGTAGAGGCCAGGCTTGTTTAAACAACCAGCTTTTGGGGGAATTCATAGAACTAGAACTCCCTTATTACCATGAAGAGGGCACCACGCATTCATGAGGGATCCACCCCCATAATCCAAACACCTCCTACCAAGTACCACCTCCAACATTGGGGATCAAATCTCAGCATGAGGTTTAGGAGGACAAACACCCAAACCATAGCGAAGCTTAACACGCCAAAATGATAGAGCTCAAAGAATCTATAGACCCAGATCTCTATGTTTAATATTGAAAAACAAATTATAAATAAGACAGTAGCAAATAGAATCAAGCAGCATATCAAAAAAATAATATGCCATGGCCAAGTATGGTTTATTTCAGGAATACAAGGATACCTACATACCATTGCAATTCATTAGCTCAACAAATTAAAAGAGAAAAAACAGGCCGGGTGCAGTGGCCCACACCTGTAATCCCAGCACATTGGGAGGCCGAGGCAGGCAGATCACCTGAGGTCAGGAGTTCGAGACCAGCCTGGCCAACATGGTGAAACCCTGTCTCTACTAAAAATACAAAAAAATTAGCTGGGCATGGGAGGCTGAGGCAGGAGGATTGCCTGAACTCGGGAGGTGGAGGTTTCAGTGAGCTGAGATCACGCCATTGCACTCCAGCCTGGGCAACAAGAGTGAAACTCCTTCTCAAAAAAAAAGAAAAAGAAAAAGAAAAAACAGCATTCCATCCACATATGCTAAATAATAACATTGAATACAATTCTAGAGCCATTCTGAGTAAAATTTCAAAGAAAATAGGAATAAATGAAAATGATTTAAATATGGTAAAAATTATTAACCATAAACTCCAAGAACAAGCATCATTTATAGAACGATATGCTAAAGCTATTACTTTTTTTTTTTTTTTTTTGAGAGGGATCTTGCTCTGTCACCCAAGCCACGATGTCAGCTTACTGCAACCTCCTCCAGGTCCTGGGTTTAAGCGATCCTCCTGCCTCAGCCTCCCGAGTAGCTGGAACTACAGGCGCATGCCATCATGCCTGGCTAATTTTCTTGTATTTTTAGTAGAGATGGGGTTTCACTATGTTGGTCAGGCAGGTCTCAAACTCCTGACTTCAAGTGATCCGCCTGCCTCGGCCTCCCAAAGTGCTGGGATTACAGGCATGAGCCACCGCGCCCGACCAGGATCATTAATATATTTAGAAGAAATTAAAGTTGTCCTCTGTCTCATAACATATATGAAAATATTTCTAGAGGTATTTAAAGCCTTAATTAAAAACAGAGCAATAAATAAGCCAGTCACGACAAATTCTGTATAATTCTGCTTATGTGCAGTACCTAGAGCATTCAAATCCATACAGACAGAAAGAATGTTGGTTACTAGGGACTGAGGGGAGGGGAGAATGGGGAGTTAGTGTTTAATGGGGACAGTTTTAGTTTTACACAGTTAAAGAGTTCTGGAGATGGATGATGGTGATAAGTGCACAACATTGTGAATGTATTGAATATCACTGAACTGTACACTTAAAATAGGTTAAGATGGTAAATTTTATGTTATATGAATTTTACCACAATAAAATTTTTTTAAAACTCAGAGCAATAAAAATCTTAGTGAAAATTTAGGACATCATATGTGCAAGATAGATCAGCGGAATCCTTTGTAACCGTGACGGGCAACTCAGAAGCTATAAAAAACAGATTAGGCATATTTATTTAATAAAATGAAAAAGACTTGTATGACAAAAGATCCCTTAAATGAAATTGATAGACAAATTTTAACTGGGGCACGGCCAGGTGCGGTGGCTCACCCTGTAATCCCAGCACTTTGGGAGGCCAAGGCGGGTGGATCACTTGAGGTCAGGAGTTCAAGACCAGCCTGGGCAACGTGGCGAAACCCCGTCTCTACTAAACATACAAAAATTAACCAAGTGTGGTCGTACGTACTTGTCATCCTAACGACTCAGGAGGCTAAGGCATGAGAATCGCTTGAACCCAGGAGGCGGAGGTTGCAGTCAGCTGAGATTGTGCCACTGCACTCCAGCCTGGGTGACAGAGCAAGACTGTCTTAAAAAAAAAATTTAACTGGGGCAAGAAAAGTATGAAGACATGCGGCAGAGCAAAGTGGAGGCAGCGTGTGGCCCAGTGCTTAGTACTGTAATCCCCAAGCTTGTTTTCACTAACCCTGTTTTTAGACTCTCCCTCTTTCCTTTAATCACCTAGCCTTGGTTCCACCTGAATTGACTCTCCCTTAGCTAAGAGCCAGACAGACTCCATCTCGGCTCTTTCACTGGCAGCCCCTTCCTCAAGGATTTAACTTGTGCAAGCTGACTCCCAGCACATCCAAGAATGCAATTAATTGATAAGATACTGTGGCGAGCAATATCCGCAGTTCCCAAGAATTTGTCCCATTGATAACGCCCAACGACCCGCGTCTATCACCTTGTAATCGTCTTTAAGCCCCTGCACCTAGAACTGTTTACTTTCCTGTAACCATTTATCCTTTTAACTTTTTTGCCTACTTTATTTCTGTAAAATTGTTTTAACTAGACCCCCCTCCCCTTTCTAAACCAAAGTATAAAGGAAAATCTAGCCCCTTCTTCAAGGCCGAGAGAACTTTGAGCGCTAGCCGTCTCTTGGCCGCTGGCTAAATAAACAGACTCTTAATTCGTCTCAAAGTGTGGCGTTTTCTCTAACTCGCTCAAGTACAACAGTACATGCAGTGTCTGGCTCTCCTGTCACATTTTCAGAAGTCACCTAGAAGAGACAGTCCCTGGGCCTCGGTGTCCTTGTCAATGAAACAGGGTCGTGGTGAGGATCAAATGAATTAATGGTGTATAGAAAGTGCTTAGAATGGCCAGGCGCAGTGGTTCACACCTGTAATCCCAGCACTTTGGGAGGCCGAGGCGGGCAGATCATGAGATCAGGAGTTCGCAACCAACCTGGCTAACACGGTGAAACCCCGTCTCTACTTAAAATGCAAAAAATTAGCCGGGCGTGTTGGCACGCAGCTGTAGTCCCAGCTACTAGGGTGGATGAGGCAGGAGAATCACTTGAACCCGGGAGGTGGAGGTTGCAGTGAGCCGAGATCACACCATTGTACTCCAGCCTGGGTGACAGAGCAAGGTTCCGTCCCCCCCGCCCAAAAAAAAAAGAAAGAAAAATGCTTAGAACAACAATGCTTGGTGTAGTTGGTGCTGTTGTTACCTATCATTATTATTTCTCTTATTTATAATATACAAAGTGCTCCTAAACATTTAATTTTTTTTTTTTTTTTTGATGGAGTCTCACTCTGTCGCCCAGGCTGGAGTGCACTGGTGCCATCTCGGCTCACTGCAAGCTCCGCCTCCCGGGTTCACACCATTCTGCTGCCTCAGTCTCCCGAGTAGCTGGGAATACAGGCGCCCGCCACCACGCCCGGCTAATTTTGTTTTTGTATTTTTAGTAGAGACGGGGTTTCGCCGTGTTAGCCAGGAAGGTCTCTATCTCCTGACCTCCTGATCCGCCGGCCTCGGCCTCCCAAATTGCTGGGATTACAGGCGTGAGCCACCAAGCCCAGCCTTTCTTTTCTTTTCTTTCTTTTTTTTTTTTTGTTTTTTTTTTTTTGAGATGGAGTTTCACCCTTTTGCTCAGGCTGGAGTGCAATGGCGTGATCTCAGCTCACTGTAACCTCCACCTTCCAGTTTCAAGCGATTCTCCTGCTTCTGCCTCCCGAGTAGCTGGGATTACAGATGCACACCACCACGCCTGGCTAATTTTTGTATTTTTAGTAGAGACGGGGTTTCACCATGTTGGCCAGGATGGTCTTAATCTTCTGACCTGGTGATCCACCCGCCTTGGCCTCCCAAAGTGCTAGGATTACAGATGTGAGCCACCACACTGCGCCAAATTTAATTTTTAAAAGTTCAAAAATACAATAGAAAGATAGATTTTAAAATGAATGGATGGGCCGGGTGCAGTGGCTCACGCCTGTAATCCCAGCACTTTGGGAGGCTGAGGCGGGCGGATCAGGAGGTCAGGAGATCGAGACCATCCTGGCTAACACGGTGAAACCCCGTCTCTACTAAAAATATAAAAAAATTAGCCGGGCGTGGTGGCGGGCACCTGTAGTCCCAGCTACTCGGGAGGCTGAGGCAGGAGAATGGCGTGAACTCGGGAGGCGGAGCTTGCAGTAAGCTGAGATAGCGCAACTGCACTTCAGCCTGGGCCACAGAGGGAGACTCCAGCTCAAAAATAAATAAATAAATAAAAGAATGGATGATAGATTGATAGATGGTACAATCCAAATGGCCAATAAACATGAAAAAGATGCTCAACCTCACTAATCAATGGGCAACTTAAAACTCATGTGTGAACAATCACTTCTCACTCATGACATTGGCAAAAATGTAAAAAGCAATAGCACTTGGTGCTGATCGATTGTACTCTGTTGCAATAACTCCTGCCTACGACATCCCTGCCCACCCATGAGACTTGCAGTGTCCCTCCTTATGGAAGGAGAAGGCCCCCCTGTACTGATGATGTTGCTTTGATCAGTGAAACAGCTGCCACCTTTCAGCAGCCTGAAATGTTATCATAAGATTCCAGCATGGCTTTTGCCGCACTGCCATGAAAACAGCTTGTCCAGGACAGATACTCTATGGCGCTGACACCAGCATGAAGATCGTTAAAGAGCAGGTGCATAACACAAAGGCCTGAAACTCCAATGTTAAAAGCCAGAGATCTGGGAGTTGTTACTACCGCACAACTCAGCGAAAGCTGACTCATGTAGTGGGGGAACGGCGTTAACACACACAGCTGGTGGCAAGGTACATTTTCACAGGCACTTTATAAAGAAATCTAGGAGCATTTCTGAAATTCACAAATGCACCTGTCCTTGGGCTGAGCCGTTCCACTCTGGGACATCCACAGAAACGGGAGCCAGTGCATAGGCTAGGGCCCAGGGATGCACATGCAGCAGGGAAAATGGAAACAGTGAACGTTCATTACCCAACCTCTTGGTGACCCTGCAGACCCCACTCCCCGCCACCTACACTGCTGCACCACCAAGGCTGGCCTCCTTTTGGCTCCAGCTCTTGCTGCTCCCCCAAGCCTGCCACCACCTGGCCCCTGCCCCATGCAGCCTATTCCTCACAACAACCAGAATATTTCCTTTAAAACACAAGTCCCATCACCCCACCCATCCACTCACTCAGGTCCCCAGACCCTCGCCATCCCCTTCCTTCTCTCTGAACGTGGAGTCTGCTCTTTCTCCTCTTGGTAGGCCTCCGGTCACATTCCTGCCTCAGGGCCTTTGTACTGCCTTTCTCCTTTGCCCTCGCTATTTGCTTGGCTCAGCCCTTCCCTCTCTTCTGTTGTCTACAAAGACCTCCTCTCTGCAGCCTCCCCGTCTCCCTCCCCCCTTTGCCTGACTTGTCCCCACTGCACTTGGCTCCATATGGCAGCACTGTGTGACAGGCTTAGTTATTTGTCTTTCCCACAAACTTTCTAAATGTAAACTCCTGGAGGGCAGGGACATTCCTTTTCCATTTAGTGCTGTACCCCTGATGCCTAAACCAGTGTGTGATCAGTATTTGTTTAATAACTAACACCAGAACAAAACCTGCTTTCATTGGGAAACAAATCTCTCAAAGAATTTTACGGCCAGGCGGCTGGGCGCGGTGGCTCACGCCTGTAATCCCAGCACTCTGGGAGGCCGAGGCGGGTGGATCACGAGGTCAGGAGATCCAGACGATCCTGGCTAACACGGTGAAACCCCGTCTCTACTAACAATATAAAAAATTAGCCAGGGGTGGCAGCGGGCGCCTGTAGTCCCAGCTACTAGGGAGGCTGAGGCAGGAGAATGGCATGAACCCGGGAGGCGGAGCTTGCAGTGAGCCGAGATCGCGCCACTGCACTCCAGCCTGGGCGACAGAGCAAGACTCCGTCTCAAAAACAAACAAACAAAAAAGAATTTTACTGCCGGGCGCGGTGGCTCACGCCTGTAATCCCAGCACTTTGGGAGGCCGAGGTGGGAGGATCACAAGGTCAGGAGTTCGAGACCAGCCTGGCCAACATGGCGAAACCTCACCTCTATTAAAAATACAAAAATCAGCTGGGCATGGTGGCACATGCCTGTAATCCCAGCTACTTGGGAGGCTGAGGCAGGAGAATCGCTTGAACCCGGGAGGCGGAGGTTGCAGTGAGCCGAGACAGTGCCATTGCTCTCCAGCCTGGGTGACAGAGCAAGGCTCTGTCTCAATAAAAAAAAAAAAAAAAAAAAAGGCCGGGCGCAGTGGCTCACGCCTGTAATCCCAGCACTTTGGGAGGCTGAGGCAGGCGGATCACCTGAGGTCAGGAGTTTGAGATCAGCCTGGGAAACACAGTGAAACCCCATCTCTACCAAAAATACAAAATTAGCCAGGCATGCTGGCACATGCCTGTAATCCCAGCTACTCGGGAGGCTGAAGTAGGAGAATCGCTTGAACCTGGGAGGCAGAGGATGTGGTGAGCCGAGATCACACCATTGCACTGCAGCCTGGGGGACAAGAGTAAATCTCCGTCTCACCAAAAAAAAAAAAAAAAAAAAAAAAAGAATTTTACAATACACATTTTCTTCTCTTCCTAGTGTTTTTATGATGGTTTAGCTAGTCCAAGCCATCCATGGCTTATGGGGGCCAAGTGGAGCATTAGTGGTGCGGCGGATTGCAGGCCCAACCCTGAGCCACACAGTCCCTGTATGAAGAGCAAGCCGGTCCACAGCCCCCATTGAGCACCTTTTTCAGTGGTCGCTGATGTCATGTCTAGGAGCAGCAACTGGGAATGTCTTTGAGGAGGATTTATAGTTAAGCAAGTAATCGCTTCACTGTGAGACCTGCTTTGGTCCATGTGCTTTCCTGCGGCTGCCCCAGGCCATGCTGACTGGACCAGATGATTGTGGGTGCACAGCTGAGGGGCTGATGTCTGTCTCCAGCAGAGACAGATCCCACCCCCACTCCTCCTTAGGCTAGTAACACACATCCCATTTAGTGCCAGGGTTGGTGCCAAGAGACCCCACAGAGCTGGGGCGGGGCATTGGGGAGCCCCTGCATGGAAAGCAGAATAGCCAGATGAGGGCAGGGAGGGAGGGAAGGAGACAGAGAGAGGGAGGGGGAAAGAGACAGAGAGAGAAAGAGGGAAGTGGTGGGGAGAGACAGCAGGGAAGCCAAAGGCTGTGGGGAGAGAACAGTGCCAGCCCTTTCCAGGCCCTTTGTCAGCCTCATGCCATCTGCTTGTAAGAAGCTCCCATGGCTTCCAGTGAGTCCTCTTCAGTTTTAGGAGCCTGTGTAGCTTCTACTTGTGAAGGAAATAATGTATACGGTGGTCCATTTCCAAGACAAAGTGCCTTGAATCGGTTTAGGACAGCAAACTACAGAAGAAACAGGATAAACTAGGCCCCTGCTTGCGTAGTCAATGCCGGCTTCTTGTCCCCTCCCCGCCACCCCGCCGCTTAATGGCCCTCACCCGATCCAAAGAAGTTTAGTCTGAGATGAAAGTTTACTAGCCTGCAGAATAGCTTGCTTTGTCTGTTCTTATCAGCCTTCCCAGCTACTTAGGTCATAAATCAAATTCTTAAAGAGCCCCCGAGCTGACTAGGATTGCAATGCATTGTGGGCTGCAACAAAATGTAGCAAGACAACCCTAAAAAAAACACCTACAGCCTCTGCATAACAATCAATAGGTGACATCTGGGAAGACTGTGACCCCCTAGTACTCAGCCTATGAGGAACTGGGGGAGGGACCTGCACACTAGGGGATAAATTGCTTGTTGTGACTGTGCTGGGTGTGCCTGCCTACTAGACACCCGACCTTGCAAGGCCATCATTAAAAGTCTCACTTTCGCTGTTCTCTTGGTCTCTAAGTCCATTCTTTGGGTTTGGACGGGTGAGTTTGTTTCTCACACTTGCAATCAGATGATTCCAGACCAAAGACATTGGCATTTTAGGTGCAGATGTCCAAGCAGGACATCCTGCTGGGTTCCAGCAGACACAGGGCAGACATCATGGATGATCCACCAGGCCCTCAAAGCCAGCTCTCTCCTGGATCCACTTGAGGAAAGGGCTCCAAGCAGCTGTCTGTGGGGCTTCCTGAGCCAGCTGTGCCTGCAAATCAATCCTGTTTCCCCAGACACAGTCACTAGTTGAGGAAGTGTCCTGAGCCAAGGTCTGCACACTGGATGGTCACCTGGGGAGCAAGGAGGTGAGACTCGGGGAGAAGAGCTGCCAAGAAAGAAGCCGAGTGGCAGGTGCTGTGTCTCCAGTGCCATCCCAGCAGAGTGGCTCAGTCTGCTTTGAGGAGCCCCAAAGCGCCCAGCCCAGAAACTCAATTTTTTTAAATGGACAAAAGGGCTGGGCAAGGTGGCTCATGCCTGTAATCCCAGCACTTTGGGAGGCTGAGGCAGGCATATCACTTGAGCCCAGGAGTTCAAGACCAGCTTAGGCAACATGACGAAACCCCGTCTCTACAAAACTACAAAAAAAAAAAAAAAAAAATCAGCTGGGTGTGGTGGTGTGTGCCTGTAGTTCCAGCTACTTGGGAGGCTGAGGCAGGAGGATCACCAGAGCCAAGGAGGTCCAGGCTGTAGTGAGCTGAGATTATACCATTGCACTCCAGCCTGGGCAACAGAGCAAGACCCTGTCTCAAGGGAAAAAAAAAAAAGGCAGGCAAAAGATGTGAACAGACACATTATAAAAGAAAATATAAGTAGAGCAAATAAGTACATGAAAAGTTGTTCAACATCGCTAATCATTAGGGTAATGGAAATCAAAATCACAATTAGATATCGCCTCACATCCATTAGGATGACTACTGTAAAAAAAAAACAGAAATTAACAAGTGTTGGAGAAGATATGGAGAAATTGGAGCCCTTATGCACTGTCGGTGGGAATGTAAAATGGTACAATTTTGCAGTGGCTCACGCCTGTAATCCCAACACTTTGGGAGGCCAACGTGGGTGGGAGGTCAGGAGTTCAAGACCAGCTTGGCCAACATGGTGAAAACCCGCCTCTACTAAAAATACAAAAATTATCTGGGCATGGTGGCAGGCACCTGTAATCTCAGCTTCTGGGGAGGCTGAGGCAGGAGAATCGCTTGAATCTTAGCTACTGGGGAGGCAGAGGCTGCAGTGAGCTGAGATCATGCCATTGCACTCTAGCCTGGGCAACAAGAGTGAAACTCCATCTTAAAAATAAATAAATAACAAAATGGTACAATTGCTGTGAAAAAGAGTTCGGTGGTTTCTCAAAAAATTAAAAATAGGCCTGGTGCGGTGGCTCACGCCTGTAATCCCAGCACTTTGGGAGGCTGAGGCAGGCAGATCACCTGAGGTCGGGCGTTTGAGACCAGACTGGCCAACGTGGTGACATGCCATCCCTACTAAAAATACAAAAAATTAGCTGGGCATGGTGGCACATGCCTGTAATCCCAGCTACTCGGGAGGCTGAGGCAGGAGAATTGCTTGAACCCAGGAGGCGGAAGTTGCGGTGAGCTGAGATCACGCCATTGCACTCTAGCCTGGGTGACAAGAGCAAAAAACTCTGTCACAAAAAAAAAAAAAAAAAAATTAGTCAGGTGTGGTGGCTCACAACTGTAATCCCAGCACTTTGGGAGGCCGAGGTGGGCAGATCATTTGAAGTCAGGGGCTCAAGATCAGCCTGGCCAACCAACATGGTGAAACCCCATGTTACTAAAAATACAAAAATTAGCCGGGTGTGGTGGTGGGCATCTGTACTCCCAGCTACTCGGGAGGCTGAGGCAGGAGAATCGCTTGAACCTGGGAGGCAGAAGTTGCAGTGAGCCAAGATCACGCCACTTCACTCCAGCCTGGGCGGCAGAGTGAGACTCCTTCTCAAAAAAAAAAAAAAAAAAAAAAAAAAAAGATGGTTAAGATGGTAAATTTTATGTTATGTATTTTAAATACAAACAAAAAACAAAAAGAAAACCAGAAGACTGGCCACAGCAGGTGTTAGTGAGAACGCAGAGAAGCTGTAACTCGCGAGAGCTGCTGGGAGTGGTGTGATGGCTTCTTAAAAAGTCAAACTTACTTCTAGTTAAATACTTGTAAAAAAAAAAAAGTCAAACTTGCAGGCACCCTGTGATGCGCCAGGCGAGCCCTGGGCACCTCCCTAGGAGAGGAACACGGATGTGTAAATACCCCGGGGTGGCCCAGGGATCCAACTTTGTTTTTCTCCCTGTAGCTCACAAACAGAGGCTCTATTAAACAATAGACCTTTTCTCGTTGGTTTTGATGTGTGGATGTGATTAAACTCTTTGCTCCATTCCCTTGCGTGTTTCTGGGCCTGTGAAACACCCCGGCTCAGGAGCAGACCTTAATCTCTGGCAGGGTCCGTCCCCCTTCATGTCCTCCTTCACAATTGGACGTGCTATTTTTAGATCTATATTATTTTGTGCAATTTTTAAAATATGTTGTTACAGTCCTCAAAAAATCTTGCTGGAATTAAGATTATTAACATTTTGGATTTCTATATAACTTTAGGAAGACTCGACATCTTTACTATGTTATACCACCTGGTCCACGAGCGTGCTATGTTCCTCCATTTATTTATTATTGTTTTACTTTCTGAGACAGGGTCTCGCTCTGTTGCCCAGGCTGGAGGGCAGTGGTGTGATCACAGCTCACCACAGCCTCGACCTTCCCAGGCTCAAGTGATCCTCACACCTCAGCCTCTTGACTACGCCTGGCTAATTTAAAATTTCTTTTTGTAGACACGGGGTTGCCTTATGCAGCCCAGGCTGGTCTCGAATTCCTGATCTCAAGCGTTCCTCCACCTTAGCCTGGAAAAACGATGGGATTACAGCTGTGAGCCACCACACAGGTCCCCCTCCATTAGTGGGGACTTTAGATTTTCTTTTTAAGTCCTTAAAGAGTTAAGTGTCCTTGGCCAGGTGTGGTGGCTCACGCCTGTAATCCCAACACTTTGGGAGGCTGAGGTGGGTGAATCACTTGAGGTCAGGAGTTTGAGAGGAGCCTGGCCAACACGGTGAAACCCTATTTCTACTAAAAATACAAAAAATTAGCCAGGAGTTGTGGTGGGCACCTGTAATCCCAACTACTCAAGAGGTTGAGGCAGGAGAATTGCTTGAACCCAGAAGGCAGAGGTTGCAATGAGCCAAGATGGCGCCACTGTACTCCAGCCTAGGTGACACAGCAAGACTCCATCTCAAAAAAAAAAAAAAAAGAGTTAAATGTCCTCTATAAATATTTTGTATATTTTTAATTAGTTAAGTGTGTGGTCACCAGGGTGGGAAATGCTCACTGTAAATGTGTGGTCATGGGGGTGGGAAGTGCTCACCGCTAGTATGTGGTCACGGGGTTGGGAAGTGCTCACTGTAAATGTGTGGTCACGGGGTGGGAAGTGCTCACCGCCAGTGTGTGGTCACGGGGTGGGAAGTGTTCACTGTAAATGTGTGGTCACGGGGTGGGAAGTGCTCACTGCTAGTGTGTGGTCACGGGGGTGGGAAGTGCTCACCGCCAGTGTGTGGTCACGGGGGTGGGAAGTGCTCACCGCCAGTGTGTGGTCACGGGGTGGGAAGTGCTCACCGCCAGTGTGTGGTCACGGGGGTGGGAAGTGCTCACCGCCAGTGTGTGGTCACAGGGGTGGGAAGTGCTCGCTGTAAATGAGTGGTCACGGGGTGGGAAGTGCTCACCGCCAGTGTGTGGTCACGGGGGTGGGAAGTGCTCACCGCCAGTGTGTGGTCACGGGGTGGGAAGTGCTCACCGCCAGTGTGTGGTCACGGGGTGGGAAGTGCTCACCGCCAGTGTGTGGTCACGGGGTGGGAAGTGCTCACCGCCAGTGTGTGGTCACGGGGTGGGAAGTGCTCACCGCCAGTGTGTGGTCACAGGGGTGGGAAGTGCTCACCGCCTCTGTGTGGTCACGGGGTGGGAAGTGCTCCCCGCTAGCGTGTGGTCACGGGCTGGGAAGTGCTCACCGCTAGTGTGTGGTCACGGGGTGGGAAGTGCTCACCGCTAGTGTGTGGTCACGGGGTGGGAAGTGCTCGCCGCCAGTGTGTGGTCACGGGGGTGGGAAGTGCTCGCCGCCAGTGTGTGGTCACGGGGGTGGGAAATGCTCACTGTCTGTGTGTGGTCACGGGGGTGGGAAGTGCTCACCCCTCCTGTGCTGTCACGGGGGTGGGAAGTGCTCACCTCCCCCTGTGTGGTCACGGGGTGGGAAGTGCTCACCGCCAGTGTGTGGTCACGGTGGGTGGGAAGTGCTCACCGCTAGTGTGTGGTCACGGGGTGGGAAGTGCTCACCGCTAGTGTGTGGTCACGGGGTGGGAAGTGCTCACCGCTAGTGTGTGGTCACGGGGTGGGAAGTGCTCACCGCTAGTGTGTGGTCACGGGGTGGGAAGTGCTCGCCGCCAGTGTGTGGTCACGGGGGTGGGAAGTGCTCGCCGCCAGTGTGTGGTCACGGGGGTGAGAAGTGCTCGCTGTAAATGAGTGGTCACGGGGTGGGAAGTGCTCACCGCCAGTGCGTGGTCACAGGGGTGGGAAGTGCTCGCCGCCAGTGCGTGGTCACGGGGTGGGAAGTGCTCGCCGCCAGTGCGTGGTCACGGGGGTGGGAAGTGCTCGCCGCCAGTGCGTGGTCACGGGGGTGGGAAATGGTCGCCGCCAGTGTGTGGTCACGGGGGTGGGAAGTGCTCGCCGCCAGTGTGTGGTCACGGGGGTGGGAAGTGCTCACTGCTAGTGTGTTGTCACGGGGTGGGAAGTGCTCGCCGCCAGTGCGTGGTCACGGGGGTGGGAAGTGCTCGCCGCCAGTGCGTGGTCACGGGGGTGGGAAGTGCTCCCCGCCAGTGCGTGGTCACGGGGGTGGGAAATGGTCGCCGCCAGTGTGTGGTCACGGGGGTGGGAAGTGCTCGCCGCCAGTGTGTGGTCACGGGGGTGGGAAGTGCTCACCGCCAGTGCGTGGTCACTAGGGGTGGGAAGTGCTCGCCGCCAGTGCGTGGTCACGGGGTGGGAAGTGCTCGCCGCCAGTGCGTGGTCACGGGGGTGGGAAGTGCTCGCCGCCAGTGCGTGGTCACGGGGGTGGGAAATGGTCGCCGCCAGTGTGTGGTCACGGGGGTGGGAAGTGCTCGCCGCCAGTGTGTGGTCACGGGGGTGGGAAGTGCTCACTGCTAGTGCTCGCCGCCAGTGTGTGGTCACGGGGGTGAGAAGTGCTCGCTGTAAATGAGTGGTCACGGGGTGGGAAGTGCTCACCGCCAGTGCGTGGTCACAGGGGTGGGAAGTGCTCGCCGCCAGTGCGTGGTCACGGGGTGGGAAGTGCTCGCCGCCAGTGCGTGGTCACGGGGGTGGGAAGTGCTCGCCGCCAGTGCGTGGTCACGGGGTGGGAAGTGCTCACCGCCAGTGCGTGGTCACAGGGGTGGGAAGTGCTCGCCGCCAGTGCGTGGTCACGGGGTGGGAAGTGCTCGCCGCCAGTGCGTGGTCACGGGGGTGGGAAGTGCTCGCCGCCAGTGCGTGGTCACGGGGGTGGGAAATGGTCGCCGCCAGTGTGTGGTCACGGGGGTGGGAAGTGCTCGCCGCCAGTGTGTGGTCACGGGGGTGGGAAGTGCTCACTGCTAGTGTGTTGTCACAAGTTTAAGGTGAAGGCAGTCAGCCTGGATGTGTGATTTTCTTCAGCAGTCATGGAGGAGAAGGGTTGGGCTCGCCCAGTTGGGTTTTCTAAGTGAATACAGTGGAGAGGGAGCGGGAGGCGAAAAAGCAGAGCCCTGTGTATAAGAGTGAAGAGTGAAGTGTGACGACGGCCCAACAGGGAAGCGCGGGCGGCGAGACAGCCCGACGGGAGATCTCCTGAGGCGGGAGAGTCCCTGCAAGGCGACTGAGCTGCAGGGCAGGAGGTGGAGCTCCACGGATGACTTTTGACGGGGGCCTTTCAGCCCTTTGCGGCTTCTCACAGTTGAGGACCCAGGGAATGTCCAGGACTGAAGGGTGTGCGCCCCTGTCTTCTACTATCGAAGCTTCAGGCTGTTTAGCCTCCGTTTCTCCAGAAATGCCAGTCAGATTCAATTTCCAGAAACGCACCTGGCACTAAGAGAATCTAGAAAACCAGGCTGAACGCAGATTAGAAAACGCCGAATAGAGCACTAGTCGAGCTGCAGCTGAGTGAATTACCGAGTAAAAGTGACAGGACTAAAAAGGTGAGAATAACAGGAGGTGAAGAGACACGAGCCCGCCACAAGAAGGACTGAGGAACAGGGCAGCCCACGTTTTGAGAAGAATGGCTGTATTTCTAGAGTCGAAGAAAAGTGAAATCTCAGACTCGGGAAGCCCAACGTGGTTTGAGAGGGCAAAATTACACCAAACCACACCGAGACGTGTCAGATGGTAACTGCTCTGCACCGAAAGAGACGGGAAGACACCGCTAACTCACAGGGTAGGTCCGCGCGGGAGGCCTCTGGCGCGGCGACGGGGCGGGGCCAGGCGGCTCCCAGCATGCCGCGCGCGCCCTCCGCGGGACTCCGGCTCCCGGCATGCCGCGCGCCAGCGCATGCGTGATGCGGCCTCGCGAGGCAGTGCCCCCTGGCGGCGGGTAGTGACCGCCGCGGGGGCGGAGCCGGAGGCGGGGGGTTGCGCTTGGTGACGGGAGGACGCGCGGCCGCCGCGCACTGGGCCGGCGGCGGCGGCGGAGGACGCCGACAGCACGGGCTGCCGCGGCAGCAGCGGCGGAGCAGCAGAGAGGCCGGGGAGCGGCGGCTGGCTCACGCGCGTCGCGCGGGCCGGGATGAGGGACTGTGGCGGCGCGGCCCGCGCGCAGCCGGCCGGTGAGAGCGCGGGCAACGGGCGGTGGGCGGCGCGGGCCAGGAAGATGGCGGAGGGGCCGGCGCTGCGGTCCCCGTGGTCCTGGCCCAGCCTCGGCGGAGGCTCCAGGCCCGGCAGCGCAAGGAATCCAGGCCCGCGGCGACTGCAGCGGCGGGAGGGGCTGTGACTGGGCCGTGGAGGGAGGGGGCGTGGGTGTGCGGGGCCCGGCCGGGCGGGGGGCGCGGAGGCTCGAGGGGCCGAGGCCGCGCGGGGCCCGGGTGCGCGCCGACGGGCCGGGCTGGGAGTGTGAGGGTGGGTGAGTTCGCGTGTGCCCGGCCCGAAGTGGGTGTGACTGTACCCTGTCCAGAGTGAGTTGTGTCCCTGCCCTAGGTGGGTGTGAGTGTGCCCGGCCCCAATGTGGGTGTGGGTGTGCCCCTGTCCAGAGTGAGTGTGAGTGTGCCCCTGTCCACGGTGGGTATGAGTGTGCCCGGCCCGAGGGGAGTGTGGGTGTGTCCGGCCCCAGGGGGGTGTGAGTGTGCTCCTGCCCGAGGGAGGTGTGAGTGTGCCCGGCCCTAGATGGGTGTGAGTGTGCCCCTGCCCGAGGGGGGTGTGAGGGGACCCCGCCCGTGGTGGGTGTGGGTGCACGTGTGCCCAGCCTGAGCTCGGGGCACCGGCCGCATTCCCGGGCGCCGTCGGAGTGGGGACAAGGTGGATGCCCGCCGGTCGGGTCTGGTGCCCGCGTCCTGAAGGGCGGCCCGGGTGCAGGGCTGCGGTGCGCTGCGGTGCAGCCTCGGGCTTTGTCCCCGGGGCGCAGGGAGCGGACATGGGCGTCTCCAGGTGGGGTCATGGCCGCCTGCGGGTGGGCTCTGCGGCCTCGCCTCTGCGGCAGGCGCGGGCTGGGGCTCCGGCGCTCGGAGCCTTCCCCTCCCGGTTGCCCCCCGAGCTGGAATTCCCTCGGTTGCTTCCCGGTTGCTTCCCAGTTGCTGGAGTGCTGTGGGTGGAGGCGGCGTTCCGTGCCCAGGGCGGCGAGAGAGGCGGGCTGTGCATTTTGGGGCCCAGGACGTTTTTTATTTTAAAACGTGCAGCCGGCTCCTTGGCAGCTGTGGGTGTGTTCCGAGCCGCTTCCCACCAGCAGCTGCTGTGGGCGCTGCGCAGCTTCGGAAACGCAGCCGGGCCCCCTCCCCCTCAGTGCTGTACGGGTTTAACCAGACCTCCAGTGACCTCTGCTGAAAAACCTACAGTGGTGAGGCTTCTCGTGCCTCCTGGTACAACAATACGGAGATTTGTCTTTTGAAGCCAGTGAGGGGAATTGGACGCTGCGTCCTAGGTGCCCTCTATAGACAGCAGGTGGTTCCGTCGGCGGCGCCCGATCCACAAGGAGCAAGGTGCGATTCTCGCGCCGGGGGAGGGAAAGGCGATTTGATAGGAGGTGTGGCTGTAAATCGAGGAGACTCATTCCATAAACCGCCCTGGGCGCAGGCTCTGTAGCCATAAATGCTTGGAGTGAATGAATGGGGGTGGCGCCTCGCTCCCTGCACTTGGTGTAGCCAGCTGTCTTCCTGAGAGGCAGGGGAGCAGAGTGGACAGGAGGGCGGGTTCTGGAGCCAGGCTGCCCGCCTCTGAGTCGCGACTCTTCTGTTTACTGGCTTTGTGGTCTTCGGCAAGGTCTCTGTGCCTTTGGCTTCTCATCTGTAAAATGGGAACACTAATAATATTGGCCTCATAGGGTTGTTGTGAGGACTCAGTAAATTAAGACTTGTGAAACACTTTGTTCGTGGCACACTGTGTTTTAGAAAGTTAGGAATGGTTATTACTGCCAAGATCTGGTGCTTCCGGGGTGCATGTGCTGGGTCAGTGGGTCTTCAGTTTCTCCAGCACTGCCAATGTAATGTAAACTGGAAGTTTACATTAAGCTGGAAGTCTGTGGCGCTGGTTTCTCACACAAGAAAGCTGAGGTCATATTTGGATGAACACATGTTTATAAAGGTAAAAGAGAGACAAGCCTCACATACTTAGATGAATTATTATATAAGATTGTTTTAAGACGTTCTTAGAGAAAAATGGCCAGGTGCGGTGGCTCACACCTGTAATGCCAGCACTTTGGGAAGCTGGGGCGAGCAGATCGCTTGAGGTCAGGAGTTCAAGATCAGCCTAACCAACATGGTGAAACCCCGTCTCTACTAAAAATACAAAAATTAGCTGGGTGTGGTGGCTCACGCCTGTAGTCCTAGCTACTGGGGAGGCTGAGACAGAGAATCGCTTGAACCCAGGAGGCGGAGCTTGCAGTGAGCCAAGATTGTGCCACTGCACTCCAGCCTGGGTGACAGAGCGAGACTCTGTCTCAAAAAAAAAAAAAGAATATTTTATTTTATTTTATTTTTATTTTTAATTTTTGAGACAGAGTCTCGCTCTGTCGCCCAGGCTAGAGTGCAGTGGCACTATCTTGGCTCACTGCAAGCTCTGCCTCCTGGGTTCATGCCATTCTCCTGCCTCAGCCTCCCGAGTAGCTGGGACTACAGGCTCCTGTCACCACGCCTGGCTAATTTTTTGTATTTTTAGTAGAGACGGGGTTTTACTGTGTTAGCCAGGATAGTCTCGATCTCCTGACCTCATGATCCGCCCGCCTCGGCCTCCCAAAGTGCTGGGATTACAGGTGTGAGTCACCGCGCCCAGCCAGTTTTTGCTTGTTTTTGAGACAGGGTCTCACTCTGCTGGCCAGGCTGGAGTGCAGTGGTGCGATCATGGCTCACTGCAGCCTTGACCTCCTGTGCTCAAGGCATCCTCCCACCTTAGCCTCCCAAGTAGCTGGGACTACAGGTGTGTGTCACCACACCTGGCTAATTTTTTTGTTCGGTTTTGTTTGTAGAGATGTGTTTTGCCATGTCACCCAGATTGGTCTCAAACTCCTGAGCTCAAGTGATCCACTTGCCTTGGCTTCCCAAAGTATTGGGATTACAGGCATGAGTCACTGTGCCCAGCCTGCCATTGTTGTTATACTTCTCAGTATTATCCTTGCAACAGAAACGGTGATTTATTAAAATAAACGTTAAGTGACAGGGAGGACATAACAGAAAGTGAGAAGGTGGAATCACCAGCAGTGTAACATTCTGCCTGCTAAGCTGTTGTGAGAAGTAAGAATTTTTTTTTTTTTTTTTTTTTTGAGACAGAGTCTTGCTCTGTTGCCCAGGCTGGAGTGCAGTGGCGTGATCTCGGCTCACTGCAAGCTCTGCCTCCTGGGTTCACACCATTCTCCTGCCTCAGCCTCCCGAGTAGCTGGGACTACAGGCACCTGCCACCACGCCTGGCTAATTTTTTGTATTTTTAGTAGAAACAGGGTTTCACCATGTTAGCCAAGATGGTCTCGATCTCCTGACCTCGTGATCCACCCGCCTCAGCCTCCCAAAGTGCTGGGATTACAGGAGTGAGCCACCGCGCCCGGCCTTTTTTTTTTTTTTTTTTTTTTTGAGATAGTGTCTTGCTCTGTCACCCAGGCTGCAGTGCAGTGGCGAGATCTCGGCTTGCTGTAAGCTCCGCCTCCCAAGTTCACGCCATTCTCCTGCCTCAGCCTCCCGCCACCACGCCCGGCTAATTTTTTTGTATTTTTAGTAGAGACGGGGTTTCACCGTGTTAGCCAGGATGGTCTCGATCTCCTGACCTCGTGATCTGCCCGCCTCGGCCTCCCAAAGTGCTTGGATTACAGGCGTGTGCCACCGCACCCGGCCGAGAAGTAAGATTTAACTTGTTTCAGAACATAGTGGAAAGATTCCCCATATTTCTCAAGGAGATGGTCCTCCTCAAGTCTGGTCACCTCTTCCCTCTGTATCTTAGCTTTACCTTAGAAAATCGCATCTCATCACCTTCATATTGTGTGACACAAAGATTAGGGAAAACCCTTCCACCTTTAGTAGAGTGTTTTGAGATTTGTGACCTTTAAAGTGAGAATATTTAATGTTTAGATAGTGGTAACACAAATAGCCTAAGATAGATTTTTAAATGCCCATCCCAGTTTTGTCTCCTACCTCTCTGCTGGGATGGGCTGTGGAAGCTACATGCTACATGGAGAGTTGGCATGTCCTTGAACAATTTATCAATAGTAGTTCAGAGAATGCAGCCTCCTGGTAGGCTTGTACTGGCTTCTTTGGTGCTGTTGAAAAAAAGTCCATGAAATACGCTCTTATATTGAAACACCTACTTCTACTAGCAAAGCCCCTCTGCTGTGCCTCTTCGTTGACTCAAGGTCCTGCGTCATAGACCTTATGCGATCCGTCTCACAGTTAGCTTTGCAGGTGTCCTGTAAAGACACCACAAGGCATGGCTCAAAAGAGTAGACTCTGGTGTTCAGCCTGTGGAGCAGACTCCCTCGCAGAGCTGGACAGACTCCCTCGCAGAGCTGGACTACCCTGCCTGGCCTGTCTCCTGTCCCTTCTCGTTACCTTTCTTGCTTCAACAAGTGAAATCCTTACCCTCTGACACTGGCTGTCTCTGCTGCCACTGTGCTTGCCTCGTTGTGTCTTTCATCTGCCACTTAGACTTGTTCCCAAGTTTATCTGACAAGTCTTTGCTGTGCCCTGAGGTTGAGTCTGACCCTGACTTCCATACCCTGGCCACACTGTTTCCACCTGCTGTGATCCTCCTCCTCAGCTGGTCTGCACGCCAACTCCTCTGCCACTTCTGCTGTGTTTGGTATCAAGACACCTGAGACCAGGATTTTGCAGGGGTAGTCTTCCCTAAAACTCGTGTTGGTCACTGGTGCCTGCCATCCTGCTAACCCCCTGAAATGTGATGGTGACAAAGTAATTTTATTATCATATATCTGAGTTTTGTTAACATGAAATAGCACCCCCCTCCATTGATAATCTTGTTATGAAACTCGTACCAGTCTTTGACATAGTTCGTGTATTGTGAAAAGAGATTAGTGGCCGCTATTATGATCCATTGGGTGGAATTTTTCTTGGTGCAACATTTAGTGTGGCTTTCCCCTCCTTTTCTTTTGAGTTTTTGGATTTCTGTGGGAAAACCATAATATTTAGCATTAATAATTTTTTTTTCAATTTTGTATGCAAGTGTTTTCCAAGTATTGTTTTGTAGTTTTAAAATCGAACATCTAATTTATGCTCAGTTGTACGTACATTGTAGTGCCACAGACATGCTTTCGGGGAACTTAAAAAGAAAAAATCTGCTACGGATATGAGTCCTTCTGTGATTAAAGGCCTAACCCGTACTCCAGACCAGGGGTCAGTACACTGCAGCCCCCTGGCAGACTCCTCTGCGTGTTTTTGTAAATGAGGTTTTATTCAACAGCTGCGCCTGCTTATTTCTGTGTTTTCTGTATTGTCCATGGCCGCTCTGGCTGAACTGACTCCTTGTGCAGAGGCTGTGCGGCCCGCAAAGCCTAAACCCTTTGTTATCTGGGCCATTTACAGAAAAGTTTGCTTTAGAAGTTTAAAGGGGAGATAATTGCAGGGGGCTGCAGCAGTGAAGGGAGGCTTCAAGACGAGGTGGTCTTCTAGCTGAACCGTACTCAGTGGGATATGAAGAGGGAAGAGTAGGGACATAGCACTGCAGACAGAAGTATTTTCACATTTTGGGAGCAAAGGTGAGAAGGTTGGTTATGTGTGGTTTCTAGCGGTTTAAAGGTTGTGTAAGGAATAATGGGAGATAAGGGTCATAATGAGAAGGTCTTTGAATTCCAGTTAAAGGCTTTAGATTTTAATTTTCTTTTTGTTTTTGAGATGGAGTCTTGCTCTGTCGTCCAGGCTGGAGTGCGGCGGCGCGATCTCGACTCACTGCAAGCTCCGCATCCTGGGTTCACGCCATTCTCCTGCCTCAGCCTCCCAAGTAACTGGGACTACAGGTGCCTACCACCATGCCCGGCTAATTTTTTGTGTTTTTAGTAGACACGGGGTTTCACTGTGTTAGCCAGGATGGTCTCGATCTCCTGACCTCGTGATCCGCCCGCCTTGGCCTCCCAAAGTGCTGGGATTACAGGCGTGAGACACTGCGCCCGGCCTAGATTTTAATTTTCTAGCTAACCGGGAGCCACCGCAGGCAGCTTTGTGAGCAGGGGATGTCCTGATTAATGGTTTAGGGAGATTTAATTGGCAATGTTCTGTAGGATGGGTTGGTGAAGGAAGAAATCCAAATCCAGGAGTTTACTGGACAGCTTTCTCCAGAGCGAGTTGCAGTAGCAACCCCAGCACTGCAGCGCTCACAGCAGCAGAGGCTGATTCCTGCCCGCGTTTCGTTTGCTTGTGACTCTTTTCCAAGAGTCTTCATTTCCAGATCCAGGACCAGGCCTTATGTGGCACATGCTGTTTTTATGGCAAGAGAGTGGCAGAAACCTAGTGTCTTTTCCGGCACCATCCTGGACTGGCATCTCAGGGTCCACGGACCAAAGCAGGGTGTGACGTACAGCCTCCTATGGGGAAGGTGAGCCCCTGCTCGGACGCTGTGCTGAGCAGAGCTGAGGAGCCCGTACCTGCTGTCTGGGCCATCTCACCATGACTGAAGGTGCAGCTGGATGTCTCCCCTCAGCCGCAGATGCTGGACGCTGGAGCCGGCCACCATGCGCGAGAGCCCCTGAGGCGGCTCAGACTCAGCACCCACATTCACTTCTGGCCTCAACCCTTTGGGGCTTTGGGACCTTCACCTGCTTGGTCACCACCTAGAATTTTGGCGTGCTGGGTCCCCCTCTCAGCTGCCATGTGGTACGGCTCCAGGTCCTCTTGCCAGTTCCCCCTGAACAGTGATCAGAACCCCTGCCTGAGTGGGACCTGCACCATGTCCCTCCTGCACTACGCTGTACCTCCTGGGGCTCTCCTGCCCCAGCCTTGAGCCACTCCCCTGTCTCTGCCACATAGCTGCTCAGATGATATAAACAGGGCAGTGATCTCCCCAGGGGTGATTCTGACACCACTCCCCGCCCTCCTGCCACATTTGGCAATATTTGGAGACATTTTTGGTTGTCCCAACTAGGAGGGGATGGCCAAGGATTTGTGGAGGCTGGGGATGCTGTTGAAATCCTACAGTGCACAGGATGGCGCCAGGCTCAGAGCGTCTAGGCGAGTGACTCTGCTGCCTGGCTCTCCTCCCTGGCTCCCCAGTGCCTCCTGGACCATGCTCCACAGCGCTGCGTGACCCCAACCTACTCTGCTCTCCAGAAAAACTGCCATGTGGTCATGGGCCAAGTCTTTCTTGGCGTCCCTCCTTCCAAAACTAAGCCAAGCTCACTGGTTCCTTCAGCCCTTTGACTCAGACTCAGGTAATGTCTGTGGGAGCGCCTCCTGGATCGCTGCCTTGTCCTCAGGTGCTCCACCCCCTCTCGTAGTGCTCTAGGTGGTGCTTTTGGTCACTGCACAATCACATAATATTTTCTCCCCTCTAGACTGGGAAGTCCTTGAGGGCAGCAGATACATTTGTATTTTCTTTTTTTTTTTTTAGAGAGAGAGTCAGGGTGGGTTGTCCAGGCTGGAGTGCAGTGGTATGATCACAGCTCAGTGCAGCCTCCATCTCCTGGGCTCAAGTGATCCTCCCACCTCGGCCTCCGAAAGTGCCAGGATTGTAGACATGAGCCATGGCACTTGGCTGTTTGTGTTCTGAATGTCTTGCTGCAGATTGCAACATTTTCTTTGAGCACTGGCTTCAGTAAAGATGATTGGGTTTAGGATGGGGAGTTGCCCTCAGAGAATGGCTGGCGCAGCAGGGGGAGGGACTCGTTGACACATTTCCCACGTCGGCTGCTTCCATCTTCCTGGGCCTCTCTTGTAACTTGCTTTCCTAAGTGTAAATGTCTTGATTCTCACAGATTCTCTATTTTTGCTTCCTAGAAAGTTTCAATTTTGTTTAACATTTTTGAGCAGATAATATACGTGGTTCAAAAGTACAAAGGGAGCTCAGTGAAGCCTCCTAGTCTCTACCCTGGAACCTGGTTCCCCTGGAAGCTTTGCTGGACCAGCTTCTTGTGTATCCTTCTAGAGATACTTTGTAACTTTGCAAGCAAACAAGTGTATGTATTCTGTTTTTTTCCTTACCCTTTTCTTTTTAAAAAGTTTCTGAACCTTGCCTTTTTCAACTATGTTTGAGAGATCTTTCCATATCAGTACATTTTCCGGTACATTCTTTCCATGGCCGCACTGTATTTGGCTGTATGGAGGTGCTGTGGAATTTTCATGCTGTTACCAGCAAGGCTATAGGCACAGTGTTTTGCAAATGTACCTGTAGGACCCATCCTAGAAATAGCATCTCTTTCTTCAATCACCGTTTATTCCGTCACATCAGGGTTTGCTCTTGTCTCTTAGTGTCTTTATTTCTGCACTTCCTTTGGTCATTTATTTCTCCTAATTATCTCATCTCTCTATATTTTAAATAATATAGTAGGTCAAATTAAATGAATGTCTCAGTTGGAAACTGGTTCACCTTTTGTGTGTTCTTTTGGTTGAGTGACTGGAAATATACACGTCCACGCAGAAGCTTGTCCATGAGTGTTCACAACAGCCAGAAAGTGGAGACAACCTAAATGTCCATCAGCGGATGAACGGATAAACACAATGTGGTCCATTCCTGCAATGGAATATTATTTGGCAATAAAAGGAAGTGAGTTACTGATTCATGTTATAACGTGTGTGAACCTTAAAAATATGCAGGCCAGGCACGGTGGCTCAGGCCTCTAATCCCAGCACTTTGGGAGGCCCAGGCGGGCGGATCATGAGGTCAAGAGATCAAGACCATCCTGACCAACATGGTGAAACCCTGTCTATACTAAAAGTACAAAAATTAGCTGGGCGTGGAGGTGAGAGGTGACAACGTGCTGGCAGCCCTCGCTTGCTCTCGGCGCCTCCTCGGCGTCCGCTCTGGCCACGCTGGAGGAGCCCTTCAGCCAGCTGCTGCGCTGTGGGGGCCTCTCTCTGGGGCTGGCCGAGGCCAGAGCCGGCTCCCTCTGCTCGCAGAGAGGTGTGGAGGGAGAGGCGTGGGCGGGAGCCGGTGCTGTGGCTGGCGCCTGCTGGGCTTGATCTGGGACGAGCTTCCTCTGGGCTGCCGGAGTGCCCGGGCTAGGTGCCGTGAAGTCCCACCATTGAGAGGTGAAGCCGGCTGGGCTTCTGGGTCGGGTGGGGACTTGGAGAACTTTTCTGTCTAGCTAAAGGTTTGTAAACACACCAATCAGCAGTCTGTGTCTAGCTAAAGGTTTGTAAACGCACCAATCAGCACTGTGTGTCTAGCTCAAGGTTTGTAAACGCACCAGTCAGCAGCACGTGTGTCTAGCTCAAGGTTTGTAAACGCACCAGTCAGCAGCACCCGTGTCTAGCTCAAGGTTTGTAAACGCACCAATCAGTGCTCTGTGTCTAGCTAATCTAGTGGGGACTTGGAGAACTTTTGTGTCTAGCTAAAGTATTGTAAATGCACCAATCAGCACTCTGTGTTTAGCTGAAGGTTTGTAAACATACTAATCAGCACCCTGTCAAAACGGACCAATCAGCTCTGTGTAAAATGGACCAATCGGTGGGAGGTGGGTGGAGCCAGATAAGGGAATAAAAGCAGGCCACCCAAGCCAGCAGCGGCAACACGCTGGGGTCCCCTTCCATGCTGTGGAAGCTTTGTTCTTTTGCTCTTCGCACTAAATCTTGCTGGTGCTCACTCTTTGGGTCCGCGCCGCCTTTATGAGCTGTGACACTCACCGAGAAGGTCTGCAGCTTCACTCCTGAAGCCAGCGAGACCATGAACCCACTGGGAGGGAAGAACAACTCCTGACGGGAGGAAGGAACAACTCTGGACATGCTATCTTCATGAACCGTAACACTCACCGCGAAGGTCTGCAGCTTCACTCCTGAAGCCAGGAAGACCACGAACCCACCGGAGGGAAGGAACAACTCCAGATGCACTGCCTTTAAGAACTGTAATACTAACCACGAAGGTCTGCAGCTTCACTCCTGAGGCCAGCGAGACCACGAACCCACCGGAAGGAATGAACAACTCCAGACGCACCGTCTTTAAGAGCTGTAACACTAACCACGAAGGTCTGCAGTTTCACTCCTGAAGCCAGGAAGACCACGAACCCACCGGCAGGAACGAACAACTCCAGATGCACTGCCTTTAAGAGCTGTAACACTAACCACAAAGGTCTGCAGCTTCACTCCTGAGGCCAGCGAGACCACAAACCCACCGGAAGGAATGAACAACTCCAGACGCACCATCTTTAAGAGCTGTAACACTAACCACGAAGGTCTGCAGTTTCACTCCTGAAGTCAGCAAGACCACGAGCCCACCAGAAGGAACAAACTCCGGACACACCATCTTTAAGAGCTGTAACACTCACCGCGAGGGTCCGCGGCTTCGTTCTTGAAGTCAGCAAGACCAAGAACCCACCAATTCTGGACACAGTGGCGTACCGGGAGGCAGAGGTTGCAGTTAGCCGAGATCATGCCACTGCTCTGTAGCCTGGTGACAGAGTAAGACTCTGTCTCAAAAAAAAAATGCTAAGTGAAAGAAGCTGGAGACATACTGTATGATTCTAATGGCATTGGTGGCTTGTCTGGAGTGGCTGCTGCCATGACGCTGGTTGCAGCTGGGGAGGCTTGGGGCTGCATGGTCCATGGAGCTGGTGGGAACTGGGAACAGGCAGGAGCTGCACCCCCTTCCAAGTTGGAGGGGTGGGAGCCTGGCCCTCCTGGGCACAGCTGCAGCTGCCTAGCTGTGGCTATGGACCCAGACATCCCTGCTCTCTCGGGGACTCAGGAAGCCCCCCTTCCCCTGCAGACTCAGAAGCAGGCCAGCCTCCTCCCGCTACCTGGCCTCTCCCTGCTCCTGGTCCCCACGTCAATTTTGGAACAAAGTTGAGGCTGAGCCCAGGCACTGTTGCAACCTGGCCAGGTGTACATGCACTTGGGGCAAAACTGACATGCCAGCCCCCTGCCTTCTCGGCCGCCTTCGGACTTTGGGTGCCGACGAGCGAGCACAGGAGGGAGCCCGAGGAGGGGCTGAGGGCAGCTTGGTGCAGGCCTGCAGGAGCCCCTCAGCACAAATAGCCTGGGCACCATGGACGGCAGGTTGATGGTAGCAGGAGGCAGACAGGCTCCTGGGTGAAAAGGGGCAGGTCCCTGATGAAGCCCCATGTTCAAGTCAGGGACAGCCTGAAGCCTGGGGGCTGGGCTGCCAGTTCCATGGACCAGAGTAAGAGTTTATGGTGCTTTTTCTGGGCCTGCCCATGGCCACCCGTGAACCATTCAGCACATACTTTCTCCCCTCTGAAGCCCATAAAAACCCTGGACTCAGCCAGACTCAGGCAAACAACAGGACAGCCTGCCTGCAGATAGGATAGGAGCTAACCAGTCCGAGTCTCCTCTCTGCTGAGACCTGAACAGTCGTCAAGACAACCCGTATGCGGAAAGGAGCTACCCACTGTGGGTCTCCCAAGAGCTGTTCTGTCGCACAGTGAAGCTCCTCTCCACCTCGCTCACTCTCCAGTTGTTCACGTACCTCATTCTACCTGGACATGTGACAGGAACTTGGGACCTGCTGAATGGCGGGACTAAATGAGCTGCAACACAAACAGGGCTGAAACACACACTCCCCCCGACCACCGCCCCCCACCACTCACCACGTTGCAGGTAATGAAAAGGAGAGAAGAGCTGCAGCACTTTGGGGAGCCCAGACCTAGGGTCTCCTCGAGCCAGGGCTGTGACACCCTCTTTGGGGTTCTGTGGTTCCTGGCATCTCCAAGCTTCTGGATGCCACTGCATTCCCCTCATCCAGATGCAGGTGCCCACAGTGGAAGCCACATGCAGTACATCTGGTCAAGCCGCAGCCTCGCACAGAGCTGGCACCTGGAGCAGCCTGCCCCGCTGCAGCTGGCATGCCTGGCTATGCACGGTGGCCTGACCCTGCGCTTGCTTGCCCACACACCCCTTGCCACTTTGCACCTGGCTTGCACTTGGCAGGTGTGGGATCTGGGCCGGTAGTGTGAGCTGAGAGCAGTCTGCCGGCCTGAGTGGGCGGAACAATCCCAGTGGGCATGAGCAATACTCAGGCAGAAGGCACCACTGGCCACAGCGGTTTCTGGCTGGTGAAGCGACACCCCAAGGATCTCATGACAATTCCGTTTATGTGAAGTGTCCAGAAGAAGTGAATCTGTAGAGATAGAAAGTAGATTAGTGGTTGCCAAGGGCTAGGGGATGACAGCCAAGAGGTATGGAATTTCTTTTAGCATAATGAAAATATTCTAAAATTGACTGTGGTGAAGGTTGCACATATCTGTGAATATACTAAAAATAACCTAAAATCATATACTTTAATTGGGTGAATTGTATGTAATGTGAATTCTATCTCAATGAAGCTGTTAAAAACAGGAGTGACTAGGATTTTTCAGAAGAGAACATTCCAAGGTGAGAGTCAGAAGGCTGCATGCCCGCAGAGGGCCTTGGTGCGGGTGTGTTCTTGGGGGCTGTGGCAAGGCGATGAGTCCCTGATCAGTTTCTTTTCTTTCTTCCTCTTTTTTTTTTTGAGACAGGTTCTCAATCTATCACCCAGGCTAGGGGGCAGTGGCATGATATCTGCTCACTGTATCTTTGACCTCCTGGGCTCAAGCGATCCTCCTGCCTCAGCCTCCCAAGTAGCTGGAACAATAGGTGCATGTCACCATGCCCAGCTAATTTTTGTAATTTTTGTAGAGGCAGGATTTCACCCTGTTACCCAGACTGGTTTTGAACTCTTGGGCTCAAGTGATCCTCCCGCTTCTGCCTCCCAAAGTGCTGGGATTACAGGCATGAACCACTGTGCCTGGCCCCTGATCAGCGTCAAATTTCAGGTGGTAGCGATGCTACACTGGTCTCCGTGCAGAAGACTTGAGTTAAACATTGACTTAATCGCTGCCTGTGTGATTGAGCACAGATAAGTCAGTTAAGCACTCGAGCTCTTATCTGCAGATAAGATGCTTGTCCTGCTTATTTGTTCAAGGTTGTTGTGAAGCTGAAGAATGGCTGAGTCTCAGTGGGTTCTGTAAATTACTGTTATTTGTGTATAATAGGAGTTTTAAAAATTAATATCAACACTAAGAGGCTGATGAACCAGCCTCTTGCAGGCTGGTCTAGGCGCACACAGAGCACAGTTGATGGTGGTGTAGACAGATGTGAGGCGTGGGAGCACTGCTGTCTCCCCAGCTCCTGGCAGCCAGGGTGCTGGACACAGGGTCCAGAACCCCTTGTCTGGCCAACAGTGTTTGAGTCTATTTTCCTTTCTTGCCATGCTCCTTTCATCTTTCCTGCCTTTTCTCTTGATTATTACTTTAAACTACTAGAGGCCCCAACACTATCCTGACAGAGTGGCTGATGCTTCCTTCATGGGTTGAGTTTACTGTTAGCCTTGAGATACTCCTAGTGGTTTTCTGTTACGGTCCCTTCAAGCATTCCCTGGGATCACAGAGGTGGCCAGCATGTTCCTCCTGCCACTCAGAGCTGTGCTGAAGCCTCTGCAGTGTAAGTTTCCCCGGAATCTGACTGCCTGCTGCATGTGTGGCTGATAAAGGGGAGCAGCTTCTGAAACTCTAGGTGCTGTTTCTATTTAATTGCGGCTGTGTTGACCTTTTATTTTCTATTCAGAATTCAGGCGTGCTGTGGAAATTCCCACATGTGGGAGGGGGTAGTGCTGTGACGTCCCTGAGACCCTCGTTTACAGCATGTGCCGGAATCACAGACGGCGTCCAGGAACAGTGTGGGGCTTTCTGCCCAAGGCCACTGGGGCCCAGGATGAGCCTCACTTGGGCGGAGCCTGTCTCCATTGCTCTGGCAGGGCTCTCACACCTGGTCTTGTGTTTGCCAGGCCCACCCACACTCATCTCGCCCCTGTCTTTACTGTTGCCTGTATGTGCCAGCCACTTGCCAGTCAGATACCCCCGACAGGGAGGAGACAGACCAGGCCTCTGGTGGGGGACACGGGAGTGAGTTGTGCTAACATCCTGTGGACAGCAGAGGTGGCCGTGTGCCTGGGGTCGTAGGGAGAACCCTAGGGTGGCTGGCCGGGAGGGGCGTGGAGTTCAGGTAGGCTTTCTGGAGAAGGGGTGTCTTGTCTGGAAAGGAGGAGTATCAGCAGCTGAGCCTTGGGCTATTCACCAGGCACAGAAAGAGCCTCAGGCGGGAGGGATGTGTGGCCGGAGCCGGCAGCTCTGTGACTGGAGTGTTGGCGAGAGCCCAGGTGAGCAGGCATCTGGGGGTCAGGGAGCAGGTGGGAGGGTGGTGTTTGCAGCGTGTAGAGTGACACTGTCTCCTGAAGGGGAGCACTTCTCAGCTTGAGCCCCACCTTCCGAGTCAGCATGCAGTTAGGAAGAGTGAAAGGGTTGGCAATAGCTTCTTTCTAACTCCAGCTTTATTCGTTCATTTCTTTTGCGGAAAACATCAGAACTTACGTGAAGTTATTATCCACCCTTGACCCATTCTGATGTATTTTAAATGGTAAGTCATTTGCAGAATCTGCCTGTTGGTGACCCTGTGCCCCTGGCTGGGAGATGCTGCAGGGCAGAGACTCTTGTCAGTGACCCGCAGAGCCTGGCATGGGTGAGACACCCAACATAGGCCTCATTCCACAGAGAGAACTGACATTAGGATTTACAAACTGGAATTAATTAGCATGTGCTTGGTATGTGAAGGGCCCTGGTTGGGTTTCGGGAGAAGCTTGGCGGCCCTGAGGCTTGGCAGCACTGTGTGTCCTGAGTGTGAGCACATGTGTGTGGTGGGGGTCTCTGGTGTGGGAGGAGGGAGCAGCACCAGGCAGCGTCATCAGAGCTGGATTAGGTGGTCGTGCCTTTCTGGTCATCCATTCCATGGATAACTGAGTGCCGGTCAGTGGTGCTCGGGGCTGGCAGTGCAGGGGTAAAGCGTTTGTCTCTTGAAGCTCAGAGTCTAGTGCAGGAAACAGATACACACAGTTGGCAGCTGCGGTGTGTGGTCTGAAGGACGGGGATGAGGCTGTGACAGCAAATCTAGCATGCTTCATTTAGATGAGGAGCTCAGGGCAAGCCTCCAGGAGGGAGATTGAGTCTGGGGCCTGCAGGAGAAGATGGTGGGGATCAGCTCATGTGGCAGCCCTGGGGTTAGCAGGACCGGATGGCAGGAGCCCAGGGAGCCTGGAGCAGGGCGGGAGGCAGGACAAGTGAGGCAGCCAGCCAGACTGCACCAAGAGCCCACCCAAAATAGTCTTCTTGAAGCCTTGCCCAGGCTTTTATGTCCGGAGCACATCAAGGAGACTGACAGGAAATACAGAAATGGTTGAGCCACCTGTGGTTTAGGTGAATGACAGTGGGGCTGAGGCTGAGGGGAGATGGCAGAGGTGTGGGATTCAGAGGCTCGATGGCCCGGTGAGGAGGGTGATGGAGCAGTGTGGTGAACCCGGGCACAGCCTCCTGGTCCCAGGTGCTGATCCTGCTTCCCGGTACACTCTAGCACGCGTCCGAGCTCTGTTGCTTTTTACAGCCGCCTGGTCCCAGGCCCTCATCCAGCTTCCCGGTACGCTCTAGCATGCGTCCGAGCTCTGTTGCTTTTTACAGCCGCCTGGTCCCAGGCCCTGATCCTGCTTCCCGGTACGCTCTAGCATGCATCCGAGCTCTGTTGCTTTTTATTGCTGAGGGACGTTCCGTTGTACAGGTCAACCCCGTTTCCTTTAGACTTTCATCCATTGCTGGGCATTTTGAGTTGTTTCCATATTTGACTATTATGAATATTTGTGTAGTTGCTGGGTCATATGGTAATTCTATGTTTACTTTTGAGGAAATGCCAAACTGTTTTCCAAAGCAGCTGCCCCGTCCTACGTTTCCACAGCGATACATAAGGTTCCAATGTTTCCACATCCTTGACAATACTTGTGATTGTTCATCCTTCTGATTAAAGCCATCTCAGTGGATGTGAAGTGACATCTCAGTGATTTTTATTTGTATTTCCCCAATGGCTAATGATGTTGAGCATCTTTTCTTGTGTTTGTTGACCATTTGTCCATCATCTTTGCAGAAATGTCTATTCATATCCTGTCCCATTTTTCAAATGGGCTACTTATCCTTTATGACTGAGTTATGTGTTTTTTATATATTCTGTATACAAGTGCCGGATCAGATATATACAATTTACAAATGTGTTCTTCCATTCTGTGGGTTATTTTTTCTTTTTTTCTTTATTTTTTGCAGTACATAAGGCCTTGGAATTTTTATCTTTTTTTTTTTTTTTTTTTTGAGACCGAGTCTCGCCCTATCATCCAGGCTGGAGTGCAGTGGTGTGATCTTGGCTCACTGCAAGTTCCATCTCCTGGGTTCACGCTATTCTCCTGCCTCAGCCTCCTGAATAGCTGGGACTACAGGCGCCCGCCACCACGCCCAGCTAATTTTCTGTATTTTTAGTAGAGATGGGGTTTCACTGTGTTAGCCAGGATGGTCTAAAATCTCCTGACCTCGTGATCCACCCGCCTCGGCCTCCCAAAGTGCTGGGATTACAGGCGTGAGCCACCACGCCTGGCTGGAATTTTTATCTTTCTTGATGGTATCATTTGAAGCACAAAAGTTTTTAATTTTGATAGAAATAATTGTTGTTGTCGTTGTTGTTGCTGCTTGTACTTTGATATTATAGCTAAGAAATCATTGCTTAACCCAACATCATAAAGATTTACTCCTGGCTGGGCATGGTGGCTCATGCCTGTAATCCCAGCACTTTGGGAGGCCAAGGTGGGCGGATCACGAGGTCAGGAGTTCGAGACCAGCCTGGCCAATATGGTAAAACCCTGTCTCTACTAAAAAATGCAAAAATTAGCCCAGTATGGTGGCACACACCTATAGTCCCAGCTACTCAGGAGGCTGAGGCAGGAGAATCACTTGAACCCAGGAGGCAGAGTTTGCAGTGAGCCGAGATTGCACCACTGCACTCCACCCTAGGCGACAGAGTGAGACTGTGTTTAAAAAATATATATATATATACATATATATTTATTTATTTATTCCTGCTCAGGTGCAGTGGCTTGTGCCTGTATTCCCAGCACTTTGTGAGGCCTAGATGGGAGGATCACTTGAGGCCAGGAGTTCGAGGCCAGGAGTTCAAGACCAGTCTGGGCAACATAGCGAGATCCCATCTCTACAAAAAATAGAATTAGCCAGGTGTGGTGCACACCTGTAGCCTTAGCTCCTTGGGAAGCTAAGGCAGCAGGATTGCTTGAATCCAGAAGTTTGATGCTGCATCAGCTGTGGAAGCCCCACTGTACTCCAGCCAGGGTAACAGAGCAAGACCCTGTCTCAAATTAAAAAAAAAAAAAAAAGATTTACTCGTGTGTTTTCTTCTAAGTTTTATAGTTTTGGACTTACCTGTACATTTCTATATTTAAAAAAAATTTTTTTTTCTTAGAGTCTTACTATGTTGCCCAGGCTGATCTTGAACTCCTGGCCTCAAGCAACCATCCCACCTCACCCTCCCAAAGTGTTGGGATTATCAGCATGAGCCACTGTGCCTGGCTTACATTTCTATTTTTTATACATTGCTTTATATCATTTTGATATACATTTAGGTGTTTGATCCATTTTGAGTTAATTTTGTTCATGTGTGAGGTAAGGTCCTGCTTTGCTTTTTTAACACAGTTGCTTGGCACCATGTGTTGGAGAGATTGTTCTTTCTTTCTGTCATTGAAATGTCTTGGCACCTTTGTCAAAAATTACTTGATCATAAATTTGAGGGTTTATTTCTGAACTCAACTCTGTGCTGTTGTCCTGTGTATCTGTCCTCATGCCCGTGCCACGCTGTCTTAATTATGGTAGCTTTGTGAGAAGTTTCAAGTCAGAAGGTGTATCCCATTTTGTTCTTTTTCAAGATTGTTTTGGCTATCCTGGTGGATCCCTTGAATTTCCATATGAACTTCAGCCTGTCAGTTTCCTCAAAAAAGCAAGCTCATTGTTTTTTTTCAGCAAGCTTGACTTTGATAAGGATCTATTAAATTCTGTTGATCAGTGTGGAGTGTTCTGCCATCTTACTAATGTTGTCTTTCATTTCATGAACATGGAATGTCTTACCATTTATTTAGGACTTCTTTAATTTCTTTCAACAATGTTTTGTAGTTTTCAGTATATAAGTGCATTTCTTTTGTTAAATTGATTCCTAAATATTTTACTCCTTCTGATGTTATTCTAAATGGAATTGTTTTCTTAACCTTATTTTCAGAGTTTTTCATTGCCAATGAGTCTTCTAAAAAATACTTCCTCTTCCTGCTAAGTATTGGTTTTTATTTTTTGTTATGTTTTGTTTTGAGACAGTCTCACTCTGTCACCACCCATGATGGAGTGCAGTGGCGCGATTTTGACTCACTGCAGCCTCAACCTCCTGGGCTCAAGCTCTCCTCCCACCTCAGCCTCCTGAGTAGCTGGAACTACAGGTGCATGCCACTGTGCTCAGCTAATTTTTGTATTTTTGTAGAGACAGGATTTTGCCATGTTGTCCAGGCAGGTCTCAAACTCCTGGGCTCAAGCAGTCCTTCTGCCTTGGCCTCCCGAAGTGCTGGGACTACAGGTGTAAGCCACTGCACCTGGCCTTAAAATTTCCTTTCTGAAAAAATGGGGAGGAAACAAATATATATATAACTTCTATTCCATCCTCTAGTGTGCCAGTTTTTAGGGGACCAAGAATTCACTAGCTTTTTTGAGTCCTGAATGGAGGTTAAAAAAAAAAAAGGCTGTGAACACAATTCCATGAAGCACATACTGGCATTTTCAGCTCGCCCAATGGTTTGAACATTGCTTTGTCAGAAGAAGCCGTCACTCTCCATAAAGTCTAGGAAAAATGTTTTGAAGATAAATGTTGCCCATTTTCATTGCTGTTGGCATTGTTACTGTAATCTGATGCTTATGCTCTGAACACATTCTGTGTTTTTATATAATTTATACCTCAGAACAATGCATGCAGTGGGTGCTCTTGGTCCTGTTTCATAGATGAGGAAACCAAGGTTGGAGAGGGCTGTGACCCACCAGGGTCACACAACTAGTAGGCGGAGCCAGGATTCAAGTCCAGGTGCCATGACTCCTGAACTTTCCCTCTTACCACAGTCACACTTCTTCTCCTGTCCTGTCATCTCCGTGACCTTAGGGTGTAAACAGTTTGTTTATTGAGACTTAGTGTACACAGAAGATGTCCCAGGTGCCGGGACATCCCAGGGAGGAGGACAGGCCAAGCCCCTGCTCTCTTGGAGCTTATGTTCTCCCAGGGCAGGGAAAAGCAGACACGTGACATGTGACATCTGCAGTAGTTGGTAGGTGTCAGTGCTGCAGAGACAGGATGAGGGAGGGCCTGGAGATTGGGAAGGGGGTGGGGTCAGGTGGGCCTCAGTCACAAAGACACTTCATTTGGGCAGGTGAAGGAAGTAAACCACTTGTGGGGGAAGGAGTGCAGGCAGAGGGAATGCCCAGTGCAGAGGCTGGAGGGAGGGTCAGAGTGAGCCTGCAGTGCTGGAGGGCAGCCTGTGAGGTGGGAGCAGGAGGGCATCCAGGCTGCCTGGGGACAGGCAATGGGGGTGCGGGTGGGCTTGGAGCATCAGGGTGCTGCATCTGCCTTGTCTCTTTCTTTTTCACTTTGGGGATAAATTTTAATAGAATGTGAGTCTGAACTCTTATATTTAGAATAAACAAAACATTAAAATTGATTGGTTCGAAATGGTTTTATGGAAAAATTAATCTGTAGCAGAAACTTGGCCTTGCGTGCAAAGGTTCTACCATTTTTTGAGCAAAGTTTACAAAGGTTCAAAGGGACAGGACCAAGGAGGAGGGGCTTGGACATTTCCCACAGCAGGCATTTTATCTTCCTCTTTTTCACGGGAGGTGGGCAGAGGCCTGTTTGGGTCGCTTTGAACACTGTATTGGGGCTTTGCTGTGAGAACTGGAGCACTCCGGGTGTTGTCCAGCACTGATCGCCTTTAGCCATGTGTATTAGTCCATTTTCAAGCTGCTGATAAAGACATACCCAAGACTGGGGAGAAAAAGAAGTTTAATTGGACTTACCGTTCCACATGGCTGGGGAGCCCTCAGAATCATAGCGGGAGGTGAAGGTCACATCTTACATGGTGGCAGCAAGAGAAAATGAGAAAGAAGCAAAGGCAGAAGCCCCCCATAAACCCATTAGATCTCGTGAGACTTATTCACTATCACGAGAATAGCACAGGAAAGACCAGATCCCATGATTCGAGTACCTCCCCCTGGGTCCCTCCTACAACACATGGGAATTCTGGGAGATACAATTCACATTGAGATTTAGGTGGGGACACAGCCAAACCATATCATTCCACCCCTGGCCCCTCCAAAACTCATGTCCTCACATTTCAAAACCAATCATGCCTTCCCAACAGCCCCCCAAAGTCTTAGCTCATTTCAGCATTAACCCAGAAGTCCACAGTCCAAAGTCTCATTTGAGACAAGGGAAGTCTTTTCTGCCTGTGAGCCTGTAAAATCAAAAGCAAGCGAGTTAATTCCAAGATACAATGGGGGTACAGGTTTTAGGTAAATACAGCAGTTCCAAATGGGAGAAATTGGCCAAAAGAAAGGGGTTACAGGCCCCTTGCAAGTTCAAAATCCAGCAGGGCAGTCAAATTTTAAAGCTCAAAGTGATCTCCTTTGACCCCAGGTTTCACATCCAGGTCATGCTGATTCAAAAGGTGGGTTCCCATGGTTGGACAGCTCCACCTCTGTGGCTTTGCAGGGTATAGCCTCCCTCCTGGCTGCTTTCACAGGCTGACGTTTAGTGTCTGCAGCTTTTCCAGGCACACGGTGCAAGCTGTTGGTGGATCTACCATTCTGGGGTCAGGAGGATGGTGGCCCTCTTCTCACAGATCCACTAGGCCATGCCCCAGTAGGGACTCCAACCCCACATTTCCCTTCTGCACTGCCCTAGCAGAGGTTTTCCATGAGGGCTCCATCCCTGCAGCAAACTTCTGCCTGGGCATCCAGGCGTTTCCATACATCTTCTGAAATCTAGGTGGAGGTTCCCAAACCTCAATTCTTGACTTCTGTGCACCTGTAGGCTCAACACCACATGGGAGCTGCCAAGGCCTGGAGCTTCCACCCTCTGAAGCCGCAGCCTGAGCTTTATGTTGGTCTCTTTCAGCCACGATTGGAGAGGCTGGGACAGAGGGCACCAAGTCCCTAGGCTGCACATAGCACAGGGACCCTGGGCCTGGCCCACAAAACTACTTTTTCCTCCTGGGCCTCTGCACCTATGGTGGCAGGGGCTGCCATGAAGGTCTCTGACATGGCCTGGCGACATTTTCCCCGTGGTCTTGGGGATTGACATTCAGCTCCTTGCTACTTATGCAAATTTGTGCTGCTGGCTTGAATTTCTCCTCAGAAAATGGGTTTTTCTTTTCTACTGCATCATCAGGCTGCAAATTTTCTGAACTTCTATGCTCTGTTTCCCTTTTAAAGTGGAATGCTTTTAACAGCACCCAAGTCACCTTTTGAACACTTTGCTGCTTAGAGATTTCTTCTGCCAGATACCCTAAGTCGTCTCTCTCAAGTTCAAAGTTCCACAGATCTCTAGGGCAGGGGCAAAATGCTGCCAGTCTCTTTGCTAAAACATAACAAGAGAGTCATCTTTGCTCCAGTTCTCAACAAGTTTGTTATCTCCATCTGAGACCACCTCAGCCTGGACCTTATTCGTATCACTATCGGCATTTTTGTCAACCGTTCAACAAGTCTCTAGGAGGTTCCAGACTTTCCCACATTTTCCTGTCTTCTTTTGAACCCTCCAAACTGTTCCAACCTCTGCCTGTTACCCATTTCCAAAGTCGTTTCCACATTTTCAGGTATCTTTTCAGCAACACCCCACTCAAGTACCAATTTACTGTATTAGTCCATTTTCATGCTGCCAGACTGGGAACAAAAAGAAGTTTAATTGGACTTACAGTTCCACATGGTTGGGGAACCCTCAGAATCATGGTGGGTGGTGAAAGGCACTTCTTACATGGTGGTGGCAAGAAAAAATAAGGAAGAAGCAAAAGTGGAAGCCTCTGATAAACCCATCAGATCTCGTGAGACTTATTCACTATCGCGAGAATAACACAGGAAAGACCAGCCCCCGTGATTCAATTACCTCCTCCTGGGTCCCTCCCACAACATGTGGGAATTCTGGGAGTACAAGTTGAGATTTGGGTGGGGACACAGCCAAACCACATAACCATGGCTGAGTCCTGCAGCTCCATCTCCCATTACCACACATTGGATGGCCTGTCTCTGGGGCTAGCAGCCAGGTGCTGAGGCAGGAAGTGGCAGAGTCCTGGGGCCACTGTTTACGTGGCCTTGCCCTTCACAGAATGGAAGCTGAAGTTGGGTAGTGGCCATCACCCAAAGCTGGGGAAAACTGCTGCCTTGTCTGTTTTAAAAGGATCCTGCTGGCTGCCATGTGGAGGGAGGGAAGAGGAGACCAGTTAGGAGCTGACCGCAGCAACCCAGGCTCTACTCAGGTGGCAGAGGTGGAGGGGATAGGCTGTTGGAATCTGGAAATAGTTTTTATTTTTGTCCTCATTTTTTTTCTTTTTTTTGGGGGGACAGAGTCTCACTCTGTCACCCAGTCTGGATTATAGTGGCATGATCTCAGCTCACTGCAGCCTCCGCCTCCTGGGTTCAAGCAATTCTCCCACCTCAGCCTCCCAAGTAGCTGGGACTACAGGTGCACACCACTATGCCCGGCTAATTGTTGTATTTTTCGTAGCGACAGGCTTTCACCATGTTGCCCAAGCTGGTCTTGAACTCCTGGCCTCAAGTGATCCGCCTGTCTCAGCCACCCAGCGTGCTGGGATTACAGGCATGAGCCACTGCACCTGGCTCCTCATTTGTTTTAATCTTGTTTATTGAGTTTTCTGCACCTATCTTGAAGTTAACCAATAAAGTTTCCTGGTAGAAGCCCAGGAGTTCAGTTTGGACATGCTGCATTTATGAGCCTGAAGTATTGGAGATGGTGGTCAGAAGTTGTTCGTGGAGTGTCGGTTGGGGAGTCCTGAGCATAGAGATGAAGGGCCTGCCTGAGCCTAGGGGAGGCCTCCCGGGGAATGGGTGTAGCTGGAGAGGGTACCTGGGGCTGAGCGTGGAGCCTCCTGCCACGTGAGGCCTAGGAGCAGGAAGGAGGCTGCTGTGGTTGGCTGTGGTTTGTTCAGTCCCGCCAGGTCTTGTGTTGAAGTTTAATCCCCAGTGTTGGAGGTGGGGCCTGGTGAGAGGCGTTGGAGACATGGGGTGGCTCCCTCATGAGTGGCTTGGTCCGTTCTCTCAGGAGGGACTTCTCACTCAGTTCCCTTGAGAGCTGTCTCTCTCTTGCTCCATCTCTCATTGTGTGATCTCCACATGCCAGCTCTCATTCCTGTCTGCCAGGAATGGAAGGTTCCTGAGGCCTCACCAGAAGCAGACGCTGGTGCTGTGCTTCCTGTACAGCCTGCAGAACTGTGAGCCAAATAAACCTTTTTTTTAAAAAATAAATTACCTAGATTCAGGTATTCCTTTATAGCAGCACAAACAGGGGCTTTAGTGACCAAGAGGCCAAGTGAGGAAGGTTAACCAGGGAGGAGAGAGTGGTCCAAGGTGGATAATAGGGAGGGGGGAGTGGGCCAAGGGGGATAATGGGGAGGAGGGAGCAGTCCAAGATGGATAATGGGGGGTGGGGAGTGACCCAAGATGGATAATGGGGAGGTGAGGAGCGGCCCAAAGTGGAAAATGGGGAGGACTGGTCCAAGGTGAATAATGGGGAGAAGGGAGTGACCCAAGGTGAGTAATGGGGTGTGGGGAGCAGTCCAAGGTGGATAATGGGGGTGGGGGATAGGCCCGAGGTGGATAATGGGGAGTGGGGAGTGGTTCAAGGTGGATAATGGGGAGTGGTGAGCGGTTTAAGGTGGCTAATGGGGATGGGGGGAGTGGCCCAAGGTGGATAAGGGGGAGGGGGAAACAGTCCAAGGTGGATAATGGGGAGGAGGGAGCTGGCCAAGGTGGATAATGGGGAGGCGGGTAATGGCCCAAGGTGGATAATAGGGAGTGGGGAGCAGTCCAAAGCGGATAATGGGGAGGAGGAGTGATCCAAGGTGGATAATGGGGAGTGGGGAGCGGCCCAAGGTGGATAATCGGGAGGGAGAGTGGTCCAAGGTGGATAAGTGGGAGGGGGAGCGGTCCAAGGTGGATAATGTGGAGGAAGGAGGGGTTCAAGGTGGATAATGCTGACGGGGAGCAGTCCAAGGTGGATAATGGGGAGGGGAGGAGTGACCCAAGGTGGATAATGGGGAGGCGGGTAGCGGCCCAAGGTGGATGATGGGGAGGGGAGAGCTGTCCAAGCTGGATAATAATGGGGAGTGGAACGTGGTCCAAGGTGGATAACGGGGAGAGGGGAATCGCTCTAAGGCGGATAGTAGGGAGGGGGAGTGGTCCAAGGTGGATAAACGGGGAGTCGGGGAATGGTCCAAGGTGGATAATGGGGAGGAAGGAGGGGTTCAAGGTGGATAATGCTGACGGGGGAGCGGTCCAAGGCGGATAATGGGGAGGGTGGAGTGATCCAAGGTGGATAATGGGGAGAGAAAGTGACCCAGGGTGGAAAATGGGGAAGGTGAGCGGTCCAAGTTGGATAATGGGGAAGGGGAGCAAGCCAAGGCAGATAATGGGGAGTGGGGAGTGGTCCAAGGCAGATAATGGGATGTGGGGAACGGTCCAAGGTGGATAATGGGGATGAGGGAAGAGGCCCAAGGTGGATAATGGGGAGGGTGAGCAGTCCAAAGTGGATAACGGGGAAGAGGAAGCTGTCCAAGGTGGATAATGGAGATGCGGAAAGGGGGGCGGGGTGGGGGGTTGTCCAAGGTGAATAGTGGGGAGAGGGAGCAGTTCGAGGTGGATAATGGGGAGGAGGGAACAGTTCAAGGTGGATAATAGAGACACAGGAGGGGTCCAAGGTGGATAATGGAGAGGCGGGTAGTGGCCCAAGGCTGCAGTGAGCTGTGATCACACCACTGCACTCCAGCCTGGGCAACACAGCAAACCCCGTCTCGTTCATTCATTCATTTGTATGGTGGCTCCCACCTATAGTCTCAGTATTGTGGGAGGCTGAGGCGGGCAGATCAGTTGAGGGCAGGAGTTCGAGACCAGCCTGGTGGCCAGATGGCCTCAGGCCTTGGGCTGGTGTGAGGATTGGGAGGGGAGAAAGGGGAAGGCTGGTTAGAGGCTGTTTTCCTCTGAATGTGTTTAGCGGCAGGTGTGGATGGGGAGTGCTGGGTTAACCACAGGTGTTTGCCAGGTAAGCATGGGCCCAAGAGAGTTGAGACTATCACAGGAGTGAGGGTGCTGTTCCTGTTAGAAGGAAAGAGACCGAGGCCAGGTGGCTGGTGTGTGGAGCCCACCTCTGCAGGAGTGTCACGCGCGAATGCGCAAAGAGGAGCCGGGGAGAGGCTGAGATGTTGCTCACAGAGCTTTGGGAGCCTTGTGTGTGTAGAGTGGAATGGCCTCCTCCTGTGTGTAGAGTGGAATGGCCTCCTCTGCTCCACACTGCCTGTGTGTGAAGGGGCCATGGTGGTCCCGGAGTGGGTGAAGCTGCTGGGACCCTGTGTAGGACTGCATGTGTTTTCACGGCGGTGCTGAGAGGGCCGTCTGCAGCCAGACTGGACTGCAGCCTCCATCTCCTGGGCACAGGTGATCCTCCTGCCTCAGTCTCCTGAGCAGCTGGGACTACAGAGTCGTGTGCCACCATGCCTATTTTTTTTTTGAGATGGAGTCTCATTCTGTCACCCAGGCTGGAGTGCGATGGCACAATCTCAGCTCACTGCAAACCTCCACCTCCCAGGTTCAAGCAATTCTCCTGCCTCAGCGTCCCGAGTAGCTGGGACTACAGATGGACACCACCACTCTCAGCTAAGTTTTTTTTGTATTTTTAGTAGAGACAGGATTTCACCATGTTGGCCAGACTGGTCTCAAACTCCTGACCTCAAGTGATCTGCCTGCCTCGGCCTCCCAAAGTGCTGGGATTATAGGGGTGAGCCACCCACCCAGCCTTTTAAAAAATTATTCATTTATTTATTTAGAGATGGTTTTTATTGGAACAGAGCAGAAGTAGGAAGTCAGTCTGGGCCAAGATCCTGAGAGAAGTGTTTTCTAGAGCCTGCTGTCCTATGTGTGGCTGCTGAGCACGGAATCATGGCTTGCAAGACTGAGTATTAAATATTACTCAACTTTACTTTAAGCATAGTGACAAGTGACTAGTGTGTTGCACAGTGCAGTTCCAAGGAATGTGCTCATGCAAGGATTGTCCCTTTATTTTAGAGGCACCAGTGAATGCTTATCACGATGAAAGTGATGTGACCTTGGCTGGCTTTTTTGGAGATTCTTTAATATGGTAGTAGGGGTGAGATGGGGTTAGGGGAGGAAAGGCTGAAAGCATGAATAATCTTATATTATTTAACCAGAGGCCAGCAAGAGGGAATTCAGTCTTGAATTTGTGAGAGACCATTCAGGCTTGTGGGAATAGGTGCTGCAGAGCTGACGCCAAGGTGCCCTGGATGGGATGGACAGTGGTGGAGACCTAGGGTCCAGGAGGAGGAGACACGGGAGCATTCCACACCTTTGACCCAGGGGTCGGGGGCAGAGTGGCATGTGCTGTGGACAGAAAGAGATGCACAATGCAAGTGCATGTGGTGGTTGGGAAGAGTGATCTGGGGAGGAGGAGCATTGTGATTCAGGTGAGGGAACACCACCCAAGGAATGTCCATCTGGCATTTGTAAACTGAGGTGAACCTGGCATTTGGGAGAGAGGTGGTTGGGTAGAGAATTGGGACTTAGCTACAGAGGGATTATAACGGAGACTGGGGGAACAGAATGAGGAGTTCAAAGGGTAGCATGTAGAGGGAAATGCATCTTGGGGCGTCCCACAGTTAGAGTGGGGCTTGAATAAGTGGACCCCTCAAGACAGCCAGAGAATGGGGATGAGAGAAGCAATTGTTAGCTTAGCTCTGCAGAGAGCATGTGTCAGTGAGCTGTGAAGGGGTGGCAGAGCATCAGAACCAGCGAATAAGCCAAGGCCGGAAGATTTTGCAAAAAATTGTTTGGGATTCTCTGATTGCTTTGTTTAGGTCCCATGAAATAGTCTAGAAAATGTCCTCCAATTAAGCTTGAACTTGGAACATTGACTTAGAAATAACACTTGTCTCTCCACTCTTAGATCAGAGGGCTGGTGTGATTGAAAAGTGGGCACTCATTGGCCTCAGAGACGTTTTGTCATGGTTAAGACAGGACTCAATGGAAACAGAAAGTTGAACACGTGAAACTTTAGTTTTTTGTAGGTCAAAAACGATTGAAAAAGGCAACATCGTTTGATCATATCTAATTGTGTTAAGAAGCATTCTTCAAATGAGCAGCTTCCCAGCACGTGTTGGGAGTTACCAGGTGTTTCCTCCAAGCCTTCAGGGTGTGAATGTGTGGTTAGGCTGGTGGTAGGCTAATGGCTCTGGTCAGCATGTTGCTGGTTATCTAGCTGCCTGTCATTTTGATTACAGTAATTATGTCCTTTACAGTGTATATTATTAATTGCTGTTTGTGTCGAGTTCCCTGGGAAGTGGACTCTGAGTTGATTTGTCTTTAGGAAGTTTACTGAGGAATGCTTTTGGGATTAGCACCTGTGGAGTGAGTGAACAGAATAGGATTGGACAGAAAGACAATGGGGCTATTACACCCTAACCCTGTTGGGCTGCCACATCCATGAACCTGGTACACCTCCCCATGATTCAGGTCCTCTTAAATGTCTTTCATCAGTACTTTGTACTACTCAGTGCATGTATTTTGCCAAACTTATTTCTAATATTGGTTAAATTTAATATTTACCCCAATATTAAACATTAATATTTAATGTTTTAATTTTTTTACATATATAATCATTTTGTCTATGAATATAGTTTTATTTCTTCTTTCCTAATCCTTCTACCTTTTCTTTTTCCTGCCTTATTGCACTGGCTAGGACCTCCGGTAATGTGTCATGTTAGAGTAGTGAGGGGAAAGCAGTCAGTCTTTCGCTGTTTGTTATGATACACAGTCATCCCTCAGTGTCCATGGGGAATGGTTTTAGGACACCCTGTGGATACCAAAATTCAAGGATGATCAGGTCCCTGATTAAAAAATGCTGTAGTGGCCAGGCGCAGTAGCTCACACCTATAATCCCAGCACTTTGGGAGGCCGAGGCGAGCAGATCACCTGAGGTCAGGAGCTAGAGACCAGCCTGACCAACATGGAGAAATCCCATCTCTACTAAAAAATACAAAATTAGCTGGGCATGGTGGCACATGCCTGTAATCCCAGCTACTTGGGAGGCTGAGGCAGGAGAATTGCTTGAACCCAGGAGGTGGAGGTTGTGGTGAGCCAAGATCGCACCATTGCACTGCAGCCAGGGCAACAAGAGCAAAGCTCTGTCTCAAAAAAAAAAAAAAATTAGCCGGGTGTGGTGGTGGACACCTGTAATTCCAGCTACTTGGGAGGCTGAGGCAGGAGAATCACCTGAACCTGGGAGGCGGAGGTTACAGTGAGCCAAGATCGCGCCATTTCACTCCAGCCTGGGCAAAAAGAGCAAAACCTTGTCTCGAAAGAAAGAAGAAAGAAAGAAATGCTGTAGGATTGATATATAACCTATATATATCATCCTGTGTACTTTAAATCATCCCTAGATTAATTTTAATATCCAGTGCAGTGTTAATGCTATGTAAATAGCTGTTATGCCATATTAAAAAATTTGTATTATCTTTTATTGTTATATTGTTGTTTTTTTATTTTTATTTTAAAAATATTTTCAATCCCCAGTTGGTTCAACCCATGGATGTGGAGGGCTGACTGTAGCTATAGGTTTTAGACATGCACCTTTTATCAAGTTGAGGAAGTTTCTGTCTATTTTCAATTTGCTTTGAGTTTTTATTTAGAATAAATGGTGGATTTTGTGAACTGCTTCTTTTGCCTGTTTTGCGAAGCTTATATGTTTTTCTATTTTAGTCTGTTAATATGGTGAATTACACTGATTGATTTTTTAAATGTTAAACTAATCTTGCAATCCTGAGATAAACTCCACTTGGATATGATTGTGTTATCCTTTATTGCTGGATTCAATTTGCTAAAGTTTTTAAATTTTAAGGATGTTTGTATCTGTGGTCATAGGGATATTGGTCTGTAGTTTTCTTTGTAATGCCTTTGTCTGGTTTTGAGATCAGCATATAGTTTGTACTATTGGCTTTATAAATGAGTTGAGAAATGCATCTTCCAGACAGGGTCTCACTCTGTTGCCCAGCCTGGAGTGCAGTAGCATGATCAGAGTTGGCTGCAGCCTCAACCTTTTGGGCTCAAGCTATCCTCCTGCCTCAGCCTCCTGAGTTGCTGGGACCACAGGCACATACCACCATGCCCAGCTAATTTTTTCTTTCTTTCCTCTTTTCTGTTTTCTTTTTCTTTTTCATTTCCTTTTTTGTCTTTTATTAATATTGTTTTATTTTGTTATTTTATTTTATTTATTTTTTTCAGAGACTGGTCTTGAACTTTTGGGTTCAAACAATCTACCCACCTTGGCCTGCAAAAGTGCTGGAATTACAGGCATGAGCCACCATGCTAGGCCAAAATTATTTTTCTTAAATGTTTAATTTTAATTATTGTTCTTAAATGTTCACCAGTGCAGTCACCTTGGCCTGGGGTTTTCTTTGTGGGAAGGTCTTAACCTACAAATTCAATTTATTAAATAGATACATTGGCTATCAAGTTATCTATTTCTTCGTGAGTGATTTTTGGTAGTTTGTGTTGTTCAAGGAATTTATCCATTTCGTCTAATTAACTCATTTTATAAATGTTGGTTAAAGTGGTTTGATAGAGATCCAGTCTTATATACGCTTAGACTCACTTTTTTTTTTTTTTTTTTTTTTTTTGAGATGGAGTCTTGCTCTGTCATCCAGGCTGGAGTGCAGTGGCACCATCTCAGCTCACTGCAACCTCTGCCTCCTGGGTTCAAGTGATTCTCCTATCTCAGCCTCCCAAGTAGCTGGGATTACAGGTGTGTGCCACCACGCCTGACTAATTTTTTGTATTTTTAGTAGAGACAGGGTTTTGCCATGTTGGCCAGGCTGGTCTTAAATTCCTGACCTCAAGTGGGTGATCCGCCCACCACAGCCTCCCAGAGTGCTAGGATTACAGATGTGAATCACCGTGCCTGGCCCCTTAGACTAACTTTTGAATTTGTCCCTTACTTGTTGAAGTTCCATACTTTTTTTTTCCATGTGTTTTGAAGCTGTGTTATTAAACTAGGCATACGCATTTAGGATTGTTACATAATCTTGATGAATTGACCCTCTTAATCACATACATTTTAAAATGAGAAAACATTTGTTTTTTATTTTTTTAAATTTTGTAGAGATGGGGTCTCGCTATGTTGAGCAGGGTGGTTTTGAACTCCTGGGCTCAAGCGATTCTCCTACCTCAGTCTCTCAAAGTATTGGGATTACAGGCATGAGCCACTACACCTGGCCTTTTTTTTTTTTTTTTCCTTATTTGCTATGTCTAGTGCTCTTTATTACATTTTACATATTCAAGTTTTTATCCAGTATTATCTTTTTGCCTGAATAAGTTCATTTAATATTTCTTTTAGTATGTATCTGTTGGCAACTAATTCTCTTATGTTTGTCAGGAAGAAAAGAATCTTTGTTTTTGGTTTTATTCTTTAAGAATAGTTTAACTGGGCATGGGATTCTAGATTGATCGTTTTGTTTGATTTAGCATGTTAGATATGCTGTTCCCTTTCTTCTTTTGTGCATTGCTTTTGATGAGGTTTTCTCTTTCTGGTTTGTAGCAATTGGATAAGACTGAACTTTGGTCTGGTGTTTTCCTGCTTGGCATTCATCAAGTTTGTCACATCCATAGTGTTACGGGGTCTTTGGGGTGTCGCTTCTCTGGCCAGAAACCTCGGTGGCTAGTGGCGCCTTTGCCCAAGTTCTTGTCCTGCATCCAGGAAGAATGAGGTATGCAGACAAGTGGAGGGTGAGCAAGATGAAGAGAAGCCTTACTGAGTGTTAGAACAGCTCAGAGGAGACCTGCAGTGGGTGACTCCTCTCTGTAGGCAGGTCGTCCTGTCGTCTCTGCAGTTTTCAGCAGAGAGGAGGCCTGGAGTGGGTGGCTCCTCTCTGCTGGCAGGTCATCCTGATAAGCATTCAGCTCTCAGCAGAGAGGAGGCCCTGGAGTGGGTAGCTCCTCTCTGCAGCTGGCCATCCCAACATCTGCCCAGCTCCTAGCAGAGAAGAAGCCCTGGATTGGGCTGCTCCTCTTTGTAGCCAGTAGTCCTGGTGTCTCTGCAGGTCTCTGAAGCTTTCAGTAGAGAGGGTAGCTCCTCTCTTCAGCTGGTTGTCCTGTTTTCTGCTCAGCTCTGGCTGATCCCGGGGCTTTTATGGGCCTCAGAGGGGAGGAATTGCATGCTGATGGGTGGCCATGGGTGGGTCTGGAAAAGGCACCACAACTTCCCACTCCAGTCCATGGGACTGGCAGCCCAGCCCCCAGCCTTCAGGCCATCTCTTGCCTGAGGTGGGGCCTCACCGGGGACCTGCCCCCTTCCACTCAGGAATCTGTCTGCTTCCTGCTGCTGTTCATGGCACCTGGGCTCAGACCCAACTTTGCTCCAAGACTGGAGTGGGAGCTGACAGCAGGGAGAAGCCAGGCAGTGGGACTGAGCACTTCTGAGTCTGCAAGGGTGAGGGGCCTTCCTGGGCCCCCAAGAGTGCAGGGATGTTTGGGTGGCTGCAGCTGTGCCCATTGGGGTGGGGCTCCTGCCTGCTCCGTGGAGCAGGAGGCTGGGTCTGCAGCCATGGTTTGGGCGGTTGCAGCAGCACCTGGGAGGACAGGGCTCCTGCCTGCTCCCAGCCACCCAAGAACACAGGGAGGCTCAGATCTGCAGCCACAACTTGGGTGGCTGCAGCACCACCCAGGAGGGCTGGGCTTCCTCCTGCTCCATGGAGCAAGGGCCCTGGGTCTGCAGCAGCAGCTTGGGCAGCTACAGCAGCATGAGGGGGAGCTTCTGCCCCAACTCAGAAGGGGCGGGGCTCCTGCTTGTCCCCGGCTCCTGCCAGCTCCATGGAGTGTGCAGCCCTGGCCACGCCTCCCTGCTGCAGCCAGCGTGATGGCAGCAGCAGGCCGTCTTGACTGGCCGCTGCCAGCAACAGTTTTCATCAAATTTGGAAAAAGTTTTTTTGACAGGGTCTTGTTCTGTCATCCAGGCTGGAATGCAGTAGTGTGATCACAGATCACTGCAGCCTCCACCTCCCAGGGTCAATTGATCCTCCCACCTCAGCTCCCGAGTAACTGGGACTCCAAGCACCTGCCACCATGCCCAGGTAATTTTTGTATGTTTTGCAGAGATGGGGTTTCGCCATGTTGCCCAGGCTGGTCCCACACTCCTGGGCTCAAGCAGTCCACTTGCCTCAGCCTCCAAAAGTGCTGAGATTACAAGTGTGAGCCACTGTGCCTGGCCTCACATTTGGAAAAATTTTGACCATTATTTTTTCAACTACTTTTACTGTCTTCTCCCTTTATTTTGGGTAAAGGGTTCCAGTTATATATATGTTGGGGTGCTTCATGTTGTCCTGTAGGTCAGTGTTCATCTTCCACTGGGCTTTAGTTTGGATAATTCCATTTGCCACCTTCGGGTTCACTACTGTCTCCTCCTTTCAGTGCTCGTGTCCGGCAGTCCAGACAGCCGTGCTCACGTGCAGACGGCGCGGCTCTGTCCGCGTGGTCTGGAAAGTGCCTGCACAGAGCCGGGCTGGGAGCGGGTTTCACCTTGTTTGTTTCCCTTTTCGGCGCCAGTTCTTTCACATTCTAGTTATTACAATTTCTAGTTATTCCAACAGGAGGACAAGTCCAGTCCCTGTCATGACCCGATAGTTATTACAATTTCTAGTTATTCCAACAGGAGGACAAGTCCAGTCCCTGTCATGACCTGATAGTTATTACAATTTCTAGTTATTCCAACAGGAGGACAAGTCCAGTCCCTGTCATGACCCGAGCTGTGGCTCCCTCTCCACCATAAGGAAGGTCCTTCGATTTTTCTAGATCAGTTTTCTGCATGGGAGTCTTAACTGCAGGTTTGATGAGACCGAGAGGGTGAGGCATGGGTGTTTCAGAGTCTCTGATGGCCAGTGTTTGTGGGGGTTCTCCGTGCAAGCAGGTTCCTGACGGGAAGGTGGAGGAGCTTGTGCTTCCATTGAAGGGGCCTCTTTTTTCCATCATTTCAGCAGCTCCCAGGCAGGTAGACGCCAGGCATGGTGTTGTGCGTGTTTATAACTTGATGGACTGTTCCTTTTACTGTTTGTAGTTTCTGTGATTTCCTATTAGTGTGTTTTGCCTGAGTTTCTATTTCATATTTCAATAATTTTCTTTTATTTATTTTTCTGAGACAGAATTTCACTCTTGTTGCCCAGGCTGTAGTACAGTGGCACGATCTTGGCTCACTGCAACCTCCACTTCCCGGGTTCAAGCGATTGTGGATTCCTGCCTCAGTCTCCTGAGTAGCTGGGATTACAGGCACATGCCACCACGCCCAGCTATTTTGTATTTTTAGTCAAGACTGGGTTTCACCATGTTGATCAGGCTGGCGTCAAACTCCTGACCTCAGGTGATCTGCCCGCCTCAGCCTCCCAAAGTGCTGGGATTACAAGCGTGAGCCACTGCGCCCGGCCTCATATTTCAATAATTTTCAACCTTGGCTGCACATTAAAATCACGTTGAGAACCTGATAAATTGGACTTTTCCTTGGCTACTTTTTTTTTTAACTTTTATTTTAGATTCGGGGGGGTACATGTGAAGGTTTGTTACATAGGTGAACTCATGTCACGGGGGTTTGTTGTACAGATTATTTCATCACCCAAGTATTAAGCCCAGTACCCAGTAGTTATCCTTTATGCTCCTCTCCCTCCCTCCTCCCCACCCTCCACCCTCAGGTAGACCCTAGTGTCCGCTGGTTTCCTTTGTGTTCATGAGTTCTCATCATTTATCTCCCACTTACAAGTGAGAACATGTGGTATTTGGTTTTTTGTTCCTGTGTTAGTTTGCTAAGGAGAATAGCCTCCAGCTCCATCCATGTTCCTGCAAAGGACATGGTCTTATTCTTTTTTATGGCTGCATAGTATTCTATGGTGTTTATGTACCACATTTTAAAAATCCAATCTATCATTGATGGACGTGTAGATTGATTCCATATCTTTGCTATTGTGAATAGTGCTGCAGTGAACATTCATGTGCATGTATCTTTATGGTAGAATGATTTATATTTCTCTGGGTGTATACCCAATAATGGAATTGCTGGGCAAATGATAGTTCTGCTTTTAGCTTTTTGAGGAATACTGCTTTCCACAATGGTTGAACTGATTTACATTCCCACCAACAGTGTTAAGTGTTCACTTTTCTCCACAACCTCACTAGCATCTGTTATTTTTTTACTTTTTTATTTTTATTATTTATTTATTTATTTATTTTTGAGACGGGGTCTTGCACTGTCGCCCAGGCTGGAGTGCTAGATCTTTGTCAGATGCATAGCTTGCAAATATTTTCTCCCATTCTATAGGTTGCCTGTTTACTCTGTTGATAGTTTCATTTGCTGTGCAGAAGCTCATTTATTGATCTCATTTATCAACTTTTGCTTTTGTTGCCATTGCTTTTTGTATCTGTGTTATGAAATCTTTTCCTATTCCTGTGTCTAGGATGGTATTGCCTAGGTTGTCTTCCAGGGTTTTTATAGTTTTGGGTTTTACATTTAAGTCTTTAATCCATCTTGAGTTGATTTTTGTATATGGTGTAAGGGTTTGCCATTCGTTCCGTTGGTGCCTGTTTTTGTACCAGTACCATTCTGTTTTGGATACTGTAGCACTGTAGTATAATTTGAAGTCAGGTAACATGATGCCTCCAGCTTCTTTTTGCTTAGGATTGCCTTATCTATTTGGACTCTTTTGTGGTCCCATATGAATGTATGTATTTATTTTTAATTTTTTTTTGAGACAGAGTCTCTCTATCATCCAGGCTGGAGTGCAGTGATGTGATCTCAGATCACTGCAACCTCCTCCTCCTAGGTTCAAGTGATTCTCCTGCCTCACTCAGCCTCCCAAGTAGCTGAGATTACAGGTGTGTGCTACCATGCCCAGCTAATTTTTGAGTTTTTGGTAGAGATGGGGTTTCACCATGTTGGCCAGGCTAGTCACAAACTCCCGACCTCAGGTGATTCACTCACCTCAGCCTCCCAACATGCTAGGATTACAGGCGTGAGCCACTGTGCCCGGCTGCATATGAATTTAAAAATTATTTTTCTAGTTTTGTGAAGAATGTCGTTGGTAGTTTGTTAGGAATAGCATTGAATTTGTAAATTTCTTTGTACATTATGGCCATTTTAATGATACCGATTCTTCCTATCCATGAGTATGGGATGTTTTTCTGTTTGTTTGTGTTTTCTCTGATTTCTTTGAGCAGTGTTTTGTAATTCTCATTTTAGAGATCTTTTACCTCCCTGGTTAGCTGTATTCCTAGGTATTTTATTCTTTTTGTGGCATTTGTGAATGGGATTGCCTTCCTGATTTGACTCTCGACTTGGCTGTTGTTGGTGTATAGGAATGCTAGTGATTTTTTGGACATTGATTTTTGTATCCTGAAACTTTGATGAAGTTATCAGCTTCATTTGATGAAAGAGCTTTTGGGCTGAGACGATGGGGTTTTCTAGATATACAATCATGTCATCTGCAAACAGGGATAGTTTGACCTCCTCTCTCCCTATTTGGATGCCCTTTATTTCCTTATCTTGCCCGATTGCTCTGGCTAGGACTTCCAATATTATGTTTAATAGGAGTGGTGAGAGAGGGCATCCTTGTGCTGGTTTTCAAGGGGAATGCTTCCAGCTTTTACCATTCAGTATGATGTAGCTGTGGGTTTGTCACAGATGGCCCTTATTATTTTGAGGTATGTTCCTTCAATACTTGGTTTATTGAGAGTTTTTAACATGAGCAGTTGTGGATTTTATTGAAGCCCTTTTCTGCATCTATTGAGATAATCATGTGGTTTTTGTCTTTAGTCCTATTTATTTGATGAATCACATTTATTGATTTGCATATGTTGAACCAACCTTATATCCCGGGGATGAAGTCTGCTTGATTGTGGTGGATTAGTTTTCTGATGTGCTGCTGGATTCAGTTTGCAAGTATTTTTTTGAGGATTTTTGCATCAATGTGCATCAAGGATGTTGGCCTGAATATATATATTTTTTGTTGTTGTGCCTCTGCCAGGTTTTGGTATCAGGATGATGCTGGCATCATTGAATGAGTTGAGAAGGAATCCCTCCTCCTCAATTTTTTGGAATAGTTTCAGTAGGAATGGTATCAGCTCTTCTTTGTACATCGGGTAGAATTTGGCTGTGAATCCATCAGGTCCTAGGCTTTTTTTGGATGGTAAGCTATTTATTACTGATTCCATCTCGGAGCTTGTTAATTGTCTGTTTAGGGAATCAGTTTCTTCCTGGTTCAGTCTTGGGAGGGTGTATGTGTCCAGGAATTTTTTTTTTCTTTTTTTTTCCAAGACAGAGTCTTGCTCTATTGCCCAGGCTGCAGTGCAGTGCCACAATCTCAGCTCACTGCAACCTCCACCTCCTGGGTTCAAGAAATTCTCCTGTCTTAGCCTTCCAAGTAGCTGGGATTACAGGCGTGCACCACCATGCCCGGCTGGTTTTTGTATTTTTAGTAGAAACAGGGTTTCACCATGTTGGCCAGGCTGGTCTCGAACTCCTGACCTTGTGATCCGCCTACCTTGGCTTTCCAAAGTGCTGGGATTACAGGCATGTCCAAGAATTTATCCGTCTCTTCTAGGCTTTCTAGTTTGTGTGCATAGAGGTGTTCATAGTAGTTTCTGATGGTTATTTTTATTTCTGTGGGGTCAGTGATAACATTCCCTTCATCATTGCTTTTTATTTATTTTTTATTTTTTGAGTTGGTCTCATTTTGTCACCCAAGTTGGAGTGCAGTGGTGCAATCTCAGCTCACTGCAACTTCAGCCTCCCGAGTAGCTAGAATTACAGGCGTGTGCCACCACACCCAGCTAATTTTTGTATTTTTAGTGGAGACGGGGTTTTACCACATTGACCAAGCTGTTCTTGAACTCCTGACCTAAAGTGATCCATCTGCCTTGGCCTCCCAAAGTGCTGGGATTACAGATGTGAGCCACAGCGCCTGGCCACGTTTGTCATTTCTATTATTTATTATTATTATTTTTTGAGACGGAGTCTCGCTCTGTCACCCAGGCTGGAGTGCAGTGGCGCGATCTCAGCTCACTGCAAGTTCTGCCTCCTGGGTTCACGCCATTCTCCTGCCTCAGCCTCCCAAGTAGCTGGGACTACAGGCGCCCGCCACCACACCTGGCTAATTGGTTTTTTTTTTGTATTTTTAGTAGAGATGGGGTTTCACTGTGTTAGCCAGGATGGTCTTGATCCCCTGACCGGTGATCTGCCCACCTCAGCCTCCCAAAGTGCTGGGATTATAGGCGTGAGCCACCGCACCTGGCCTGTCATTTCTAATTGTGTTTATTTGGATCTTCTCTCTTTTCTTCTTTATTAGTCTAGCTAGTGGCCTATCTATCTTATTAATTTTTCCAAGAAGCCAACTCCTGCTCATTGATCTTTTGAATGGATTTTTGTGTCTCGATTTCCTTCAGGTCAGTTTTGATTTTGGTTATTTTTTTGTCTTTTTTTAGCTTTGGGATTGATTTGCTCTTGCCCTCTGATTCTTTCGGTTGTGATGTTAGGTTGTTAATTTGAGGTCTGTCTAACTTTCTGATGTGGGCATTTAGTGCTATGAATTTCCCTCTTAACACTGCTTTAGCTGTGTCCCAGAGATTCTGGTATGCTGCATCATTGTTCTCATTAGTTTCAAGGAACTTCTTGATTTCTGCCGTAATTTCATTATTTGCCCCAAAGTCATTCAGCTCAGCTAGCTTTAAAAAATGAGTTTTTAAAAGTTCCTCAAGAGATTCATTGGGAAGCTAGGGTTGAGCTGGCTCTGCATTTGCCTCGTCTCTACAGTGGCACTGGCTGAGCAGCCCTCCTTGGCAGTTGTTGTTCTTGTTGAGTGGAACTTGCTCTACCTTTCGGAATAAAAAGCTTTTAAACAGCCAGAAATTGAGTTTCCAATATCTGATATCGCCCTTGCTCAGTATGGTTTCCTCCTAGGCTGTTTTCTTTCTGGAACGAGCCCTTCAGTAGTTCTGTAGTGAGGGTCTGTGAGTGCTGCAATTGGATACAACTTCAGCTCTTGTTTCCTTGTGGGAGATTGCTCCAGTTACTTTTGCTGGATAACAAATTACCCCAAAATGTAGGGGCCTAAAATAGTTGTATATGATCCTCTCTCCTGGTTTCTGTGGAACAGAAATTCAGGAGCAGCTTGGCATGGGGTCTCCTGAGACTACAGTCAAGACAGGAGCTATGGATGAGCCATCTTACTGGCATGTCTGGGGCTTCTGCTGGGGAAATCAGAGCAGCTGGGGCCCTGGAGGAGCAGCTGGGGCCGTGGAGCAGCTGGTGCCATCTTGTGGATGTTATAGCATGGTGTCCTCAGGGTAGGGCAGCTCAGGGCTCTGAAGGCTCTATCCCCTTTTCCAGCCCAACCTCTGAGGTCACAGGTCCCCCATTGTGTGTGCCAGGAGTGAGTTTTTAGGGCCACCTATGCTAGAGGAAGGAGAATTAGACTCTCCACCATTTTGTAGAAATTGTACCAGGAATTTATACATGTTTTCAGCCCTCCAGTCTTTTGTCTCTGGTAGCTTTTAGTCCTTCAGGGCAATGAGTCTGGATATGGACTTATTTTATGTACAGTACTTGGCACATGGGTGCACTTTTGCTTGGAAACACTGTTCTCCATTGTTCCCTCTGGTTCCCTCTCTTGGGGTCCCCGTGGACGCATGCATGGCTTCCAGCTGCCCTCCCCTGGCACGGCGTCTTGCTTTCTCTGCATTCTGCATTGGTCTCCAGGACTGTCCCCCAGCTCCCGAGCATTTCTTGTCTTGGATTGGTCATTCCTTCCCTCACCCACCAAAGGTCCTGACCTGATCTGGTGTAAAGTCGTTTTCATTGCTGTTTTGTTTTCATTTCCTCAGGAAGAATGAGAGTCTCTGTTCAGGCGTGGCTGACAGCAGTGCACAGGGCAGTGTGGGCAGCAGGGTGGGCGGCTGCAGGCTGCCGATAGCCTTTCCTTGTGGGAATGTTCTGGGGCCATGGACATTGTGAGCACAGGACTCAAGCCCATGGTGCCTGTGGGGAAGTCTCAGGGACTCTGCACAGTGAGGGTGAGAACAGGGATGCCACCTTGACACAGCAGTCTGCGGGTTTCATGTGAGGATGGGCTGTTCGTCCCTTCCCTGCTCTTACTGGGGCCACATGCTCGAGCTTTAAGAAGGGTCAGAGCAGGCCGGGCGCAGTGGCTCACGGCTGTAATCCCAGCAGTTTGGGAGGCTGAGGCACGCGGATCATGAGGTCAAGAGATCAAGACCATCCTGGCTAACATGGTGAAACCCCGTCTCTACGAAAAATACAAAAATTAGCCGGGCATGGTGGCGGGTGGCTGTAGTCCCAGCTACTCGGGAGGCTGAGGCAGGAGAATGGTGTGAACCCAGGAGGCGGAGCTTGCAGTGAGCCGAGATGGTGTCGTTGTACTCCAGCCTGGCTATAAAGCGAGACTCTGTCTCAAAAAAAAAAAAAAAAAAAAAATGGTCAGAGCAGAGCAGATGCCTCCAGCTGTGCCCCATCAGGGAGAGAGACAGAAGGAAACACCACCCCAACCACAGGGCACTGGGGCCCTCTGGGCGTGTCTGGTCCCGGACCCTCGTCTGCAGCAAGTGTGGTGGAGAAAAACCCAAGGCCTTGTTTCCTCACGTGCAGTGCCAGGGCCATGGCCCGCTTGGACTCTGGGCCCAGCGAGGGTCTCACCAGGACCAGGCTGTCTCCTGCAGGTTCCCATGCCCTTGGCTCAGAGAGGCGTTGTTTTCTGAGAATCAAGGCTTTCAGGTAGGTTTCTGAGAAGGAACTTCACTTTTAATGAAGGTAGCCCAGGCGCAGAGCTCTAACATTGTGCGGTGGTGCAGAAAGGACGAGGCTTCCATGCCCGCCAGCCTGTGCCCACCCCAGTTGTTCTCAGAGGCAGCCGATTCGCCTCCTGTCTTTTGGTGTCCCTGCTATTCCTCATTTCTTTCTATTTTCTCCACACTTTTTTTGGTGATTTTTTAAAATTTAGTTTTTTGGCTATCGATACTTTCACAGGATTAAAAACAAACAGAAGCCAAGAAGGCATGTGCTACGAAGTTTCACTCCCTCCCCTCCCGCTCTCTGTTCCTGCCAACTCCCAGTACCACTTTTATTGCCGATGAAACAACACAGGCGCCCTTGTTCTCACTCCTGTTTGGGGCCCCCTGTTGGCCTGGTCCATACGTGCTCTTCCCTGTTGAACACGTTTGCGGTTGTTGCCCTGTCTGCACAGAGAGAACATCCACATCCCCTCCGGTGGCCTGTGCCCTTCCTCCAGCAGGCTCCAAGCTTGCGATGTGTCCGTCCTTGCTGGCGGACATTTGGTGCCACCGGTGGGGAGGGGTGACCAGTGCAGCTCCGGGGGACGCCCAGCAGGTGGTTGCTGGTCAGGTGGTGGTGTGTTCAATGTGGTTACCTTCTCTAGCTATCCTGCCTCGGCCACAGAGCCAGCTGGGCCATCTGGGTGTTACCCTGTTGTTACACAGTGACATCCTAAAGATGGTGTTGCTGCCGCATACCTTGCACCAGCACCCAGGCAAGGCCAGCTCCATCCGGGAGCATCTGCAGGTGTCTCTGTCCTCCCTGCTGCCCCCAGCTCCCCCTGCAGCCCTGGCCTCGCTCAGGCAGCCCCTTTGGTTATGACTTTCCTTAGTGTTGGGATTCCACACAAAATAAACCTCTGCCATCCAAGGTGTATCGCTCTGCTTCCTGAGAGCACGTCTGGGTTTGGGGATGGTTTTTTCTAGAGGATAAGAATCCCTCATGTTTGCACTTTACATGTCATGTCTTTCATTCCTAACACGTCTGGGATGATGACATTCATGGGACTCTGTGCCGGGAGAGACCAGAGTGAGGCAGGGAGGCCCTGCCCTCATGGAGCCCTTCAGTGACTCTGCCAGGAGAGACCAGAGTGAGGCGGGGAGGCTCTGCCCTGACGGAGACCATCAGTGACTCTGCCGGGAGAGACCAGAGTGAGGCGGGGAGGCTCTGCCCTGACGGAGTCCATCAGTGACTCTGCCGGGAGAGACCACAGTGAGGCAGGGAGGCCCTGCCCTCATGGAGCCCATCATTGAGAGCGTGGTGTCCCAGGGCTGGTTCCCAGCTGGGCATCTGACCTCATGGCCAACCTCTCCTTGACACCTGGACTTCTCGTGCCTTCAGTTCATGTAGTGTCCCAGAGCTTCCAGCCTGAGTTTCACGGCTGTGACTTCATCCAGCTTCTTCTCCACATGGTTGCACTGGCATCTGCAGCTCTGAGTATGAGAGGGATGGGGTTTTGGAGCTGTGCAGAGCCAGGCTTAGGACCCACTTCTTGTTAGAGAGTTGCAGTTTAACTGTGGACCTGCCCAGTGTTTTCTTCGCTTCCTCCTGGATAACACGGGGACTGCGGTTGACATGTGCTCTCTGCCGTGGCCCAGCGCCTGTCACCTGCCACCCAGGGACAAGCCTGCGAGGACTGACTTCTGTCCTGAATGGGCGCACTGGGCAGGGTGTGGCAGCACGGAGCAGAGGACCTGCTAGGGGCAGAGTCTGATGAGATGAAATTGAGTTCTGAGGAGGCAGCACAGCTCCTGAGGAAGGGGCTCAGGTGTAGGGTGAAGGTACAGGGCTTGGGTTTGGTGCCTGCAATGACTCAGAGTGCAGGTGCAGCCAAGAGCTGTGCAGACACCTGGTGCTGAAAGGCCAGGTGCGAAGTCACGGACAGGGACGTGGTTTGGCCTGGGTTGATGATGAAGTCCTGCAGACTGCACTGCTCCCAAGGGCCTGTAGTGAGAGAAGGCCTCGGATGCCGCTTCAAGTGACTCAGAGCTCAGAAATGCATGGTGGAAGCCGGAAGGGGTGCCGCCACGAGCCGGCGTGCATTTGGCAGTGTTTCAATTATGGAGGTATAATTTATATATAAAAAATTCACTCATTTCAAGTATATAATCCCATGGTTTTTAGTAAATTTGTAGAGTCGTGCAGCCATCACCTCCTGTTGAGCATTTCCATCACCTAGAAGATGCTGCTGCTTTGTGCCCAGCCCCGCCTCATAGCCGCCTCCATCTCTGCCGATCTGCCGCTCCTGGTCACTTCATGGACATGGAATCCTACAATATGTCATCTTTTGTGTCTGACTTTGTTGCCTGCTTTCTTTTGTTTTTTAAAACACTTTCTCCAGGGTTTCTGGAGGGCTCTTTTAGCCTTAGAGCCAATCCCTCTCTATGGCTGAAGCATCGCATTGAGTGGGTCCACCGTCTTTTCTCCCCCATCGTCTGGTGGTGAACGTGGGGCTGTGCTGTGTTTGGCTCCTGTGAATGGTGCTGCCGGGAATGTGCGTGTCCGGGTCTCACTGTGCATTTGTGACTTCATGTCTCCCGACTAGATTCCTGGGAGTGGAATTGCTGGGTCACGTGGTAGATTTTTGCCAAACTGTTTTCCAAAGTGAGTTCTTACTTGCAGTGTACGAGGGCTCTTGTTTCTCCACATTCTTGCCAACACTTTTGTGTGACTTATTTTTTTTCTCCCTTTTAAAACATTGCCTTTCTTTTTTTCCCTAGCCATCCTATTGGGTGAAAAACAATAGCAAAATAGACTTTCTATCAAAATTCATAACCTTTGTGCTTCAAAATACACCATTAAGAAGATGAAAAGACAAGCTAGGCATGGTGGTTACGCATGTAATCCCAGTACTTTGTTTTTCTTCTATCACACGTCCTTTGGTTGTTGAGTCTAAGAAGTCTTGGTCCTTTAGTAACATTGAGTACAATCCTCTGGATTCAGTTTAGTGTCTTGGAAGTCACTGGAGATTTCAGTCGAGTGGAGGCATAGACCAGAGTATCAGAGTTGAGGTCCCAGGGGAAGGTGAGGAGATGGAGGCCACTTCGTCAAAGGAACTGTGGGGACATGCGGGGTGAGAACCAAAGTGGTGGCTGGAGGGGCAGAGAGCTGGGCACCAGTCTCTCTGTGTGATTATTTTTTTCTTTTGTTTTTCTTTTTGAGATTGGGTCTGGCTCTGTCGCCTAGGCTGAAGTACAGTGGCATGATCACAGCTCACTGCAACCTCTGCCTCCCGGGCTCAAGCAGTCCTCCCACTCGGCCTCCCAAGTAGCTGAGAATGCAGGTGTGCACCACCATGCCTGGCAATTTTTTTGTAGAGACAGGGTTTTGCCATGTTGCCCAGGCTGGTCTCAAGCACCTGAGTTCAAGCAGTCCACTCACCTCAGCCTCCCAAAGTGCTACAATTACAAACGTGAGCCACCACACCATCTCTTAATACGGTGGAGATAAGAACATGTTAAATACTGGCAGGAAGGCTGGTGGGGAGGGGGAGGGCTACTCTACAGAAGAGACAAGGGATCATTGACAGCAGAAGCTTCCTGAGGAGGAGGAAGACCTTGGTGTTAATTTTCTATTGTTGTTGTTTTGTTTGCTTGTTTGAAACAGGGTCTTGCTCTGTTGCCCAGACTGGAGTGGAGTGGTGTGATGTCGGCTCACGGCAGCCTCAATCTCCTGTGCTCAAGGGATCCTCCTGCCTCAGCCTCCCAAGTAGCTGAGATCACAGGCATGAGCCATCACACCTGATGTATTAGTCTGTTATCGTGCTGCTAATAAAGACATACCCGAGACTGGGTAATTTATAAAGGAAAGAGGTTTAGTTGACTCACAGTTCAACACAGTTGGGGAGGCCTCACCATCGTGGCAGAAGGCAAAGGGGAAGCAAGAGAGTGTGTACAGGGGAACTGCCCTCTTATAAAACCATCGGATCTCATGACACTTATTCACAGTCATGAGAACAGCTCAGGAAAGACCCGTCCCCATGATTCAGTTACCTCCCACTAGGTCCCTCTCATGACACGTGGTGATTATTGCAATTCAAGGTGAGATTTGGGTGGGGACACAGAGCCAAACTGTATCACCTGGCTAATTTTTTTTTTTTTAATTTTTATCTATTTTTTTTCCCCTAAGACGGAGTCTCACTCTGTCACCCAGGCTGGAGTGTGGTAGCATGATGTCAGCTCACTGCAGCCTCCGCCTCCCAGGCTCAAGCAATTCTCCTGCCTCAGCCTCCTGAGTAGCTGGGACTACAGGCGCCCGCCACCATGCCTGGCTAATATTTTGTATTTTTAGTAGAGTCAGGGTTTCACCATGTTGGCCAGGCTAATCTTGAACTGCTGGTCTCAGGTCATCCACCCACCTCTGCCTCCCAAATTGCTGGGATTAACAGGCCTGAGCCACTGCACCCAGCCCACTTTTTATCTTTGTTTGTTTTGATTTTTAATAGAGACGAGGTCTCATGTTGCTGAGGCTGGTCTTGAACTTGTGCACTCAAGCAATCAGCCCGCCTCAGCATCCCAAAGTGCTGAGATCAGAGGTGTAAGCCACATCTGTGTTAGTATTCTATTGCTGCCATAACAAACCACCACAGATTTAACCTCTTAAAGCAACATACATCTGTTGCTCACAGATCTATGTAGCCTGGGTGTGGTTCTGAGAGTTTTGTCTCTCCAGGTTTGGATTTGCAGGTGGGTATGCCGAGGGGCCAAGGATGAGGTAGTGGGTGGCTGCAGTGGCCCACCCGGAGCTTGTGGCAGGTACCCCTCCTCCTCGTGGCTGCACTGTGATGGGATGTCCCCCTCTCCTTGCATGATGGGTAAATGCACTGGCTTCAGAGGACACTCTTGGGTACCTGTGGGGCCAGCTCAGACTGTGGCAGGAGCTTGGGTGCATCCTGGGTCTGCGTTTCTTCTTCCCGAGCTCCCCTCCTAAATAGAGCCCATGAAGCCACATCCTCGTCTCAGGCTCTGCTTTTGGCGGAGGCCGACAGAGGCTGAGTCTAAGCTGGAAGTTGAGGGGTGTGGGAGGATGGAGTCCTGGGGTGAGTGATGGGCAGAACGCAGGAGAGCTGAGGGGATGCCAGGAGACAGGTCAGGTGGTGCTGCCAGGGCCCTGCCTGAGCTCCTGCCTCGGGAGTTGGCCACCTGGGCGCCACTGCATTCCTCCTCGATGTGAGCATGGTGGGGTCTTGGTGGTCAGCTTCGCTTTACCAGCCCATCATCTGCCTGCGTCTGCATCTCCATGTTGTCTCATTTCTGCTTGACAGATTGTAGCAGCCAGTTATACAACATAAAGAGTTAATTTTCATTCCATAAAGAATTTAATAGCGTCTGCCTCTCCTTTCCCGTCCTCTGGTGCCTTGAGGGCCAGAGACCGGTGCCCCAGGGTCCCAGATGTCATAGACTAGAACCTGAGAACCAGAAGCCGGTGTGGTCTTTCCCCCCGTGATCCTGTGGCAGAACAGGTGGATGGTGGATGAAAGCTTTCAGATGTCACCTCCTGGAACACCTCTGCAAGAACTGGTGCTGGGATGGGCCCAGGCAGATGAGAAATAAAAATATCTAGTTGAGTGTACATTTTATTATTGTAGGAAATAAGAAATAGAGTAATGTCTATATAGATGAAGAGTGGGACCCTCACAATGTTGATTTCTATGTACTAGGGTCTGATGAAATGAAAGCAACTAGAACAGAGCATTTAGCGAGGTTAAAACAGACAACTAACTGTGTGAATCGGAAAACGTGGCTTCGTTTTCAACAATGTTTCGTGGGACGCTTATCTAATACCTAATGGCTATTTATCGGGATTTAGAGAGGTTAAAACAGACAACTGTGTGAATCGAAAACTCGGCTTCGTTTTCAACAATGTTTTATGGGATGCTTATCTAATACCTAATGGGTATTTATCGGGAAAACACTTCTTTACTGCAGTGTTGTGACATTTTTTGTTGTTTCTGCTAAATCTACATTGAAGTGTTGCTTTGTAAGTGTGCTGTATTAGTCTGTTTTCAAGCTGCTGATAAAAACATACCTGAGACTGGGTAATTTATACAGGAAAAAGGGTTTAATGGACTTACACAGTTCCACATGGCTGGGGAGGCCTCACAATCATGGTGCAAGGCAAGGAGGAGCAAGTCACGTCTTACCTGGATGGCAGCAGGCAAAGAGGAGAGCTTGTGCAGGGAGACTCCCATTTTTAAAACCATCAGATCTCGTGAGACTCATTCACTATCACGAAAACAGCATGGGAAAGACCCACCCCTATGATTCAATTATCTCCCACCAGGTCGCTCCCCCAACATGTGGGAATTATGGGAGCTACAAAATGAGATTTGGGTGGGGACACAGAGCCAAACCACATCATGTGCCATGAAAACTGTCCCTGTCAGTCCCCCGTGTGCAACTGAGCCACGCGAGAGTCCAAAAACAGGTGGGTGCTTGTTTGAACGTGTTTGTGTTTAGCCAATCCCTGGTGTCATGGAGCTTCTAAAATAGCATAGATTACTCGATCTGGCTTTTGGCAGAAATGGTTTTCCATATTTTCTGCATGTCGCCTGTAATATATTCTACAGAGAGCAAGGGTAGTTCTTGCATCCGTAACCCATTCCTGAAAACCAGACGTCTTGCATGAAAATGCTGTCTTTTTCATGTTAAATAGGAAAAGCCAGTAAATTATTGTGTCAGTGCAACCAGTTTCCTAAGACAAAGCATCCGTGTAACAAACACCCTTTATACAAGAAACAGGCTATTGTGTGAGGATGTTAATGTTTTAAATGCGGCTTCCTGACACTGGACAGCCGAGGTGAAGCTTTCACTGTTGCTTTTCCCAGGGTGACATTGAGAGGCCTGTTTGTGTCAGCATCATCCACGCAGCACGTGCTCTGCTCACATCCACGTGTGTGATTGTGGCGTCTTCTACTTGTATCTGAAATGCAACTTGAGGATTTTTTTTTTCTCCCCTGCACTTCATTTTGTTAAAATGTTGGTTTTGTTTCTTGATGTAAATACAAAATTTACCGTGGCAACCATTGACAGGAATACGTATTGGAAGAATCATATGGTTTGTGAACTTATAAACTGTCAAAAATAAAAAGATGCTCTACCAAGAAATGTTGACCAGGAAGACATCTGTGCGGTGTGCCTGTAATATGGTTAATGTTAACAGATGATGATTTAAGAAGTTCTTTTTTTATATTTTGAAATAGTTTTTGTGATAGAAATGAAATTTAAATTAATTCAAAAATATTTCTTTTCTTTCTTTCTTTCTTTCTTTCTTTTTTTTTTTTTTTTGAGACAGCATCTCGCTCTGTCACCCAGGCTGGAGTGCAGTGGTGCGATCTCAGCTCACTGCAACCTCCACCTCCCGGGCTCAAGTGATTCTCCTGCCTCAGCCTCCCAAGTAGCGGGGACTCAGGCATGTACCACCATGCCCGGCTAATTTTTGTATTTTTAGTAGAGGTGGAGTTTCACCATGTTGGTCAGACTGGTCTCAAACTCCTGACCTCAAGTGATCTACCTGCCTCGGCCTCCCAAAGTGTCGGGATTACAGGCGTGAGCCACCGCTCCTGGCCCGTGCCGAAGGTAATTTTTAAAAAAAGCATACTGGCTTCCAGGTAAGGGTGGCAGAGTGAAAACAAATGCAGTGTCACTCTTTCCCAAGCCTTTGCTAAGTGAACAGCAAAGTGATGTTTTAAAAAGTCAGACTCACAGGGAATGGGTGAAGTGGGAGAGAAGACAGTAGTGAAGTTCTGGAAGCTGGGAAGCAGATGGGTGAGTGATCATTTACTGAGCAGATCCGAGAAAGCCAGATTCCATGTCGGCAGTGAGGGAAGCTAAGGATTCATCCTGTTTGTGCTACAGAACACTCAAAAGTCTCGAAAATTGAGGTACTAGGGACTTAAAAAGTGAAAAAGAACATGAAGATGAGCAGAAAACAAGAGATCAGCAGGAGTGATCAGGAAGATTTGAAAGAGACCAATCAATAGGTTAAATGTCAGATTATGTACAGTTGAGAGAAACTTTGTGAACTGGAAGACATTTTTTAAGAATGCAGCCAAGAGTTAACAAGACGGGGAAAGTGACAGAGAGGTTGATTGAGACACAGAGGATAGAATGCAAAAGTTTAAGATACATTTGATTTCAGCCCCAGAAGGGGAAAATAGAATGGAGAAGAGGCAGTATTTGAAGAGCCGTTGGCTGAAGGATATTTTGTAACTGATGAAAGATTTGAGTCCCTAGGTAATGGAAACGCAGTATATTTTAAACAGGTTAAATGAAAGAAATCCATGTGGAGACACATCATAGGAAAGCTCCAAAACACCAAAGACCAAGAGAAGATTTTAAAAGCAATCAGAGGTAGGAGAGAAGTCATCCAGGGCAGTGCCAGCAGTACAGACGGCCGGCTGCCTTCTCAGCAGCAGAGAAAGCCAGAAGACTGTGGTGTTCATCTTCAATATTGAGAGAAGGAACCTATTGAGTATCCAACAAAATTATCTTTTAACATCAAAGGTGAAATGACATTTTCAGATAAAACAGAGTTTACTACCAACAGACCATCATTAAAGATGCTTCTAAAAGACAGGATTCAGGAAGAAGGAAAAATGTTTTAAAAGGAAAGAATGAGCTGGGCGTGGTGGGTCATGCCTGTTATCGCAGCACTTTGAGAGGCTGAGGAAGGAGGATTACTTGAGGCCAGGAGTTCAAGACCAGCCTAAGCAACATAGCAAGACCCCTCTCTAAAAAAAAAAAAAAGAAAGAAAAATATCCATGTGTGGGTGGCACACACCTATGGTCCCAGCTACTCAGGAGGGTCACTTGAGCCCAGGAGTTTGAGGTTGCTGTGAGGCATGATGGTGCCACTGCACTCCAGCCTGGGCAACCGAGCAAGACCGTCTAAAAAAAAAAGAGAGAGAGAGAGATGCAAAAAGAAATGGTTAGCAAAACGTAAACACATCTCTAAGTCTATAAACATTGCATGAAATAATTGTTTTTTGTTTGTTTGTTTTTTGAGACAGAGTCTCGCTCTGTTGCCAGGCTGAAGTGCAGTGGCGTGACCTTGGCTCACTGCAACCTCTGCCTCCCGGGTTGAAGCGATTTTCCTGCCTCAACCTCCTGAGTAGCTGGGATTACAGGCACCCGCCACCATGCCCAGCTAATTTTTGTATTTTTAGTAGAGACCGGGTTTCACCATGTTGGCCAGGATAATCTCAATCTCTTGACCTCATGATCCGCTCACCTCAGCCTCCCAAAGTGCTGGGATTACAGGCGTGAGCCACTGCGCCCAGCAATGAAATAATCTTTGTAGGGTTCAAAAGAAAAAAAAGACTAAACAGAAGCATGGGTTGCAAGATAAAGTTGAGAATCTCTCAGAAAATAGAGCAAAAATTTGGAGTTGGAGAATAGGAGAAAAGAATATTCAAGGACCAGTCTAGAGAGTCCAGTACCTGGATAGTAAAAGTTTTAGGAATGAGATGGAAGAAACATCAATGAGAGAAAGTCACTGAACAAAATGTCCCAGAGTCCACCAGACACCCACACACTGTGTGAAAACAGACTGGTACAAAGACACAAAGACACGGCGTCTGGAAATCCTAGACCCTGAGAACAGATTGAAGATTCGGAAAGCTTCCAGAAAGACACAGATTGCATTCCAGGATTGAGGGTCAGAATAACTTTGGACTTCTTAATAGCAGTTCTGGAGTTTGGAAGTCTGTGAAGCAGTAAGTTCAAAATTCTGATGGAAAGTGATTTCCTTTGTAGTATTCTTTACCCTTTGAAACTATCAAAGGCCTCAGGCATCTTTTTTCTGGAAGTGACTGAAATGTTCCTTACCAAAACAAGGTGGTAAATGGAGGGTGCTGAGCCTGGGGTGCGGGAGTGTCACCCCGGCGATGCTCCAAGGCTGGGAACCACCTTGGTCCTTTAAACATGTACAAGGCTAGTTTGGTTAAAGATGCAAGTGTGCAGAGCTAGCAGATGTCATGCATACTTTATCCTGCAGAAGTGAAAATGGGGTTTGGTAATGCTGTGTCTGTGTTAGCATCTGCTCTGATGTACCAGGCGTCCCGCCCTCCTGGGCATCTTCACATCGCCTGCATCGCAGGGAGGATTGGGGCTGTCGGGAGCTTGGCCTGGTGTGTAGGGTTCCTGCAGACCCCATAGTTTCTTCCTTTTGTCATCTTTTCTGTTCCTTCTGTACTCCTCCCCCTAGTCCCTCAGTAAAAACAAAACAAACTAACCCAGGCAGTTCAATTGTGAGTTTACATTTTCCTACCCCTTTCCCACTCTTAATTGCTAATCCTCCACTAACATTAGCTGAGTATTGAGTTTTAAGAAGTTTTTCTTCTGCACTCACCCCGTAAGAATCAACACAGAAGAATTATCTACCTGTGGTCACCAAGAAGGGTTTCTCCATACCAGCCACAAATCAGTCCCACAGCAGACACCAGCTGGGTGTCCTCTAAGTCGGTCCCCACACTGTCTTACCTGGCAGGAGATTCAGCCCCCCTCTAATTCAGTCCTCACACTGTCTGCCTGGTGGTAGCCTCAGATCCCACCGGGTAAGTGCTCAGCCCCCTCTAATTCAGTCCCCACACTGTCTACCTGGCGGTAGCCTCAGCCCCCCTCTAATTCAGTCCCCACACTGTCTACCTGGCGGTAGCCTCAGCCCCCCTCTAATTCAGTCCCCACACTGTCTACCTGGCGGTAGCCTCAGCCCCCCTCTAATTCAGTCCCCACACTGTCTACCTGGCGGTAGCCTCAGCCCCCCTCTAATTCAGTCCCCACACTGTCTACCTGGCGGTAGCCTCAGATCCTACTGGGTGAGTGTTCAGCCACCCTGTAAGTCAGTCCTCACACTGTCTACCTGGCGGTAGCCTCAGCCCCCCTCTAATTCAGTCTCCACACTGTCTACCTAGCGGGAGACTCAGATCCCACCGGGTAAGCGCTCAGCTCCCCAAGACCACCCCCACTTCCAGTGCCCATCACAAGCCCAGGGATAATTCACCCGAGCTCTGACCAACCAGGTACAAATCGGGGTTCCCACACCCCCTCCTTGGGTCTGACTGATTTTCAAGAGTGACTCATAGAATTTTGGGAAGCTTACATTGATGTTTATCATGGAGGATATTACAAAGGATACAGATGAAGAGAAGCGTAGGGTGAGGTGTGGGGAAAGGGCCTGGAACTTCCATGCCCTCCCTAGGTGCACTGTTCTCCAGAAACCTCCCCCCATGTGTTCAGCTCTCTGGAAGCTTCTTGAACGCTGTCCTTTTGGGGTTTTATGGAAGCGTCATTACATAGGCATGATTGCTTAAACCGTTGGTGACCAACTTAACCTTCAGCCTCTTTCGCCTCCCCCCATGGGGAGTGCAGCTGAAAATTCCACCCCTCTAATCGTGCGTTGGTCTTTCTGGTGACCTACCCCATCCTCAAGCCACCTAGGGGCTGCAGCCCTGAGTCAACTCACTAATGTACAAAACAACATAACCATGGAGATTCTAAGCATTTTAGGAGCTGCGTGCCAGGGTGGGATGAAGACCAAGCACACATTTTACAGTATCACCAGAATCCTTTGTGGGAACACCTAGATTAGGGATTCGAGAATGTTTCCCTGAGAAGTGAATGTGTGAGCTTAGTCCTGAAGGAGAGACAGAAGTTACCCAAGGCCAGAATGTGCAGGGAAGTGTTCCAGACAGGAGTGGAGACTACACCCGCACAGGGCCTGGAGTTCCCGGGAGCCGAGTGGAGACTGCGCCTGCAGAGGCCTGGAGTTCCAGACAGGAGTGGAGACTGCGCCTGCAGAGGCCTGGAGTTCCAGACAGGAGTGGAGACTGCGCCTGCAGAGGCCTGGAGTTCCAGACAGGAGTGGAGACTGCGCCTGCAGAGGCCTGGAGTTCCAGACAGGAGTGGAGACTGCGCCTGCAGAGGCCTGGAGTTCCAGACAGGAGTGGAGACTGCGCCTGCAGAGGCCTGGAGTTCCAGACAGGAGTGGAGACTGCGCCTGCAGAGGCCTGGAGTTCCAGACAGGAGTGGAGACTGCGCCTGCAGAGGCCTGGAGTTCCAGACAGGAGTGGAGACTGCGCCTGCAGAGGCCTGGAGTTCCAGACAGGAGTGGAGACTGCGCCTGCAGAGGCCTGGAGTTCCAGACAGGAGTGGAGACTGCGCCTGCAGAGGCCTGGAGTTCCAGACAGGAGTGGAGACTGCGCCTGCAGAGGCCTGGAGTTCCAGACAGGAGTGGAGACTGCGCCTGCAGAGGCCTGGAGTTCCAGACAGGAGTGGAGACTGCGCCTGCAGAGGCCTGGAGTTCCAGACAGGAGTGGAGACTGCGCCTGCAGAGGCCTGGAGTTCCAGACAGGAGTGGAGACTGCGCCTGCAGAGGCCTGGAGTTCCAGACAGGAGTGGAGACTGCGCCTGCAGAGGCCTGGAGTTCCAGACAGGAGTGGAGACTGCGCCTGCAGAGGCCTGGAGTTCTAGACTGGAGTGGAGAATGCGCCAGCAGAGGCCTGGAGTTCCCGGGAGCCCAGTGGCTCAGGGACTGAAAGGCACTGATTAGATTGCCTTCATGGGCACAGAGGGCTTCTTTCAGTCTGATGACATCTTTATATTTGGTTTGTCTTTCCCGTTAATTGGGTAAGAAGTTTTGTTTTCCTCTCTGCAGTTTGTTACAACTGACTGCAGAACTTGTATTCATGTATCTTTTTAAATCTCATGTGGAGAGGCAGCTTTTCCTGTTGTGTGCTGATTATGGATTAAATTTAAGACTCAAATATAGGTTCACCAGGCATGGTGGTACGCGCTGTAGTCCTGGCTGCTCTGGGGGCTGAGATAGGAGTGAGCCCTGGAGGTGGAGGCTGCAGGATCTGCAATCACCACTGCGCTCCAGCCTGGGTGACAGAGCAAGACTCTATCTATTAAAATTCAGTGGGGCCCAAATTTCAAATTTTTTTGTTCTCATGGTCCATGTTATGAAGGACCACTTTAAGAAAATGTAGTGTGACTTGAAAGTAAACTCCATGAAATTCATAGTTAACTACAAAGCATTTAGCTTTGAATTAGTAGCTGGGCTTTGAAATTTTGGGCATTATGGAAGATTTCTTTTCTTTTTTTGCCGACTGGACATTCCAATTTTTCTTTTCTTTTCTTTTTCTTCTTTTTTTTGAGACGGAGTCTCACTCTGTCACCAGGCTGGAGTGCAGTGGCATGATCTCAGCTCACTGCAATCTCTGCCTCCCAGGTTCAAGCGATTCTCCTGCCTCAGCCTCCCAAGTAGCTGGGATTACAGGTACATGCCACCACACCCAGCTAATTTTTCTGTGTTTTTAGTAGAGACGGGGTTTCACCATGTTGGCCAGGATGGTCCCAATCTCCTGACCTCATGATCCACCTGCCTCGGCTTCCCGAAGTGCTGGGATTATAGGCGTGAGCCACTGCGCCTGGCCTTTCTTTTAAAAACAAACAAACAAACAAACAAAAAAAAACAGGGTCTTGCTGTGTCACCCAGGCTGGAGTGCAGTGGCGGATCTCAGCTCACTGCAGCCTCCACCTCCCCAGGCTCAGGTGATCCTCCTGCCTCAGCCTCCCAGGAAGCTGGGATTACAGGCACAAGCCACCTTGCTTGGCTAATTAAAAAAAGAAATTTATAGAGATGGGGTCTCACTATGTTGCTTAGGCAGGTCTTGGCCTACTGAGCATGGCCCGGAAGATTTCTTGAGCTGGATTCATAATTCACCTCTTAAATGAAAAATAAGTAAAATATATCTTGATTGTGAAACATGATTGTTGGAGTATTTTCTCTTTGACAGCATTTTTGGAGTTTGGGTTTGTGAGAAATTAGGGTTTGGGTCTGTGAGAAATGTGCCGAGTCCCTGCCCAGCCTCAGGCTCAGGGCAATTGTCTGGGCGGTTGTGGGGCCATCACCTGATGTGCAGCGCTGCCTGGGGAGATGGCGCTTTGGAGAGTGTGTTTGGCCAGTTGGTGGCAATCCTGCTGCCCTGTCTGGGTGAGGCAACTGCCCATGAGCCCACCAGAACCCCTGGGGCAGGGGACTGACGGCCCAGGCCCAGACCCGGCTCTGCCCTGTGGTGCAGCCCACTGTACCCCTCGATTCGCCAGTTCCACCAGGCAAGCCCACCACTCATTGACACACAGTCCTCGTGCACGCTGAGGCCACCAGGCAGAGGCAGTGAGGGTTTGTCGACATGCTTTGAGGTTGATCGGTCACAGGCTGCTCCAGTGCGGCTGGAAGAGGGGCTGCAGGCTCTGGACAAGTGACGGGAGGTGGGCTCTGCAGCTCTCCTGGAGGATGACGGTGCTCTGGACAAGTGACGGGAGGTGGGCTCCACGGCTTTCCTGGAGGGTGACGGTGCCTGTTCTGTGAACTTATAGCAGTCACTGAATTGTGTACTCACAGTGCATGGATCTTAAGGTGTGCAACTTATACTGCAGTGAAACTGTTTTAGAAAAAAGTTCACCAGGATGTGACTTGCATGGAAAAAAGAAAGCAGAATCAGCACTTTGGAGGTCAGAAGCTCCAGGAGGGGCAGTGATGGTCCTGGCAGACCCAGGAGGGCAGGGCGGTGGCAAGGGGGCTCACAGGGTGAGAACCAGTGCACGTTGCACTGGCTTCACCTGAGGGCTCAGAATCATGGCCCTAGCTTTCTGAGAGGTGGCAGCTGAGATACGGAGGCCCAGTCACCGGCTGTTTGAAAAGCAGTTGGGTCCTAGACTCTTGCTCTCAGTTCTTGACACTGACAGTTGCCCTGCCCGGTGTGGAGGCCCTTTCTCTGGAAAAAGGTTACAAGAAAACAGGAGATGTTGGTACTGGGGCTCTGGCCGAGGTGAAGCTGGAAGTTCCCTGCCCAGAATGGGATGGCGGCCAGGCCTTTCCCTCTGCACAGGTTTCTTTGGGGGATCCAACTGCCAAGGGAGACCCAGAGGTGCTTACACCAGGGACCCCGACAGATGGCCCAGCTGCACTGCACTGACTTGGCCCCATCCACCTCGACAGGTTCAGAGTCAAGCTTCCAACAGGAATGACACAGACCAACTTCAACTTGCAGAAGATAGAGACTCTTCACAGAGAAGAGCATCAGATAGTGTGATTATCCTCAGGAACGAGAGGATATCACACCCGTGAAACGGGGCAGATGGCGTAAAGAAAGGGATATTCAGAGAACAGAAAAAATGCTTGGCTGTTAAAGGTGTGATGGCGGGAATGAGAACTCGAGGGTTGGAAGATGAGTGACGAGGGTGCAGCTTTCCAGAAAGAAGGGCAGAAGGACAGGCAAGAAATGGGGCCTCGTCCGTTCCTGCTGCTGCAGCTAAGTGCCCTGGACTGGTGGGATGGTTGGATATTTGCCCAAATCTCATGTTGAAATATAATCCCCGGTGTTGGAGGTGGGGTCTGGCGGGAGGTGTTTGGATCATGGGGGTGGATCCCTCATGAATGGCTTGGCCCACCCCCTTGGCGATGAGTGAGCTCTGGCTCTGGCTCATGCGAGATGGATCTGGTCATTTAAACGTGGGCAGCAGCTGCCCCCTCTTGCCCCTGCTTTGGCCATGTGAGGCACCTGCTCCTGCTGGCCTTCCGCCATGAGTCAGAGCTACCTGAGGCCTCCCCGGAAGCCAAGGGATGTTGGTGCCATGCTACCTGTACAGCCTGCAGAACCGTGAGGCAACTAAACCTCTTTTCTTTATAAATTACAGTCTCAGGTATTGCTTTATAGCAATGCAAGAATGGCCTATTACAGATGGGTAATTTATAGACAACAGAAACTTACTTCTCACAGTTCTGGAGGCTGGGAAGTCCGTGAGCAAGGCCCTGGCCGGTTGGCGTCTGAGGAGGGCCAGCTCCTCACTGGCACCTCTCACCTAGCGAAAGAGAGGGAAAGGCCAGGCCCTCAGGACGTGATCACCCCCTGGGGTGGGGTTAGTGGTGCCACCTCTTAACACTGTCACATGGGGTTCTGGGTCTAGCATCTGCATTTGGCGGGGGACATTCATTCACACCACAGCAAATAGGAAATGAAGAGGAGAGTCTAGGAAGCTCAGTGTCTCGGTCACTGGAGTTCTAGAAAAAGGACAGAGGGGACACCATGCATGTCACCAGGCACGTCGGGCTTGTGTGCTCAGCACAGTGGGTGAGACCAGACCCTTAGGAGGCTGCAGAAGCTGGGGGCCAGGGCTGGGGCGCTTCTTAGCCACCGTAGGGCTGGAGAACCAGGAAGCACTTTCAAAATTGTGACAGAATGACCCTGATGAAGCCGAATAGTTCATCTGTTGTCAAGGTAGAATGAAGACATTTCCAGACAGGCATGGTTTCAAAACTTTACCTCCCATCTAACATTTTTCAGGAAAGGGCACCTGTGCCTGGGCGAGCACATGAGTTGTGGTGGGGCAGTGAGGAGGAGCTGGACAGTGCCGGGTGGGGGCCTAGCTGGGGCTGGGGCACCAGGCCACTGCTGTTGACCAGGCCTGCCGGTTCCTGTTCGGCTCGTGTGCTCTGGGCCTCAAGCATGTTGCTGGGATGCCTGGTGTTGGCATCTGGGCTCGTCCCACACCATTGCCAGGGGCCTGTTGGGGCTGGGGTTCAGCCTTGCCTGTCTCTCAGTAAGAAGTTGCCCTTGTGGTGGTTGGGGCTAGAATCAGCCCCCAGGGCCCCCCACAGTGTCCCCTGCCCCTGCGTTGTGCTGCACCTGGACTCACAGTTGGGAGGTGCCGCCTTTGCCATCCCTCAGGATGTGCCCCCAGCAAGTCCCCCAACACTTCCCACAGGGCCGTCCTCTCTGCACACACCAACACTATTGCAGCTTAAAGTCCCCCGGCCACCACCCAGCGCCCTCCTCCTCTTCCTGTCGCAGCCCCACCCGAGTCTCGTCCTCTCCACCCTCTGCCAGCACAGGTCTGGCCCCAGGCCCCTGGGCAGAGGCGCTCATTGCTGTCAATGCCATCACCCGGTGTACCACACAAAGCTGCTACTTTTGTTGATCAAGAAAAATACAATTTCACAGGGTTGAATCTGTTTGCTGATGTCTTTCAGGTTTGTCTCCAAAGCTCAGACTTCTGAAACCACACTTGCTTTTGGGTAGCTCATGCAGGATGAGCCCCTCACACTTGGCTGTCCCCAGCCCCACTCCTGCTGGCCTTCCCCAGCCTGCTGCAGCTCTAACATCTGCCAGGGCCCATGCAGCCAAGCCCTGGAGGTCTCACAGCCGTGCTCCGCCTCAGCCCCGCTGGAGCCTGCGGGTCTGCTCTTGGAGCCCTGGAGGTCTCACGGCCGTGCTCTGCCTTCGGCCCGCTAGAGCCTGCGGGTCTGCTCTTGAGGTGTCGCCATTGGTGCAGCTCCGCCTTAGGCTGAGGCTGCCCCTAATCAGGCAGCAGGGTGAGTGGTGACTGGGAAAAGGGAAAAACCTTCCGTTACAGAAGATACCGAGAAGAGCAATGTGGCCTCAAACCTAGAGTTTGCAACTCATGTAGCTGAAGACACTCATTCTGTGCACTTTGTGAACCTACAGAAAACGTTTCCAAGTTAGTAAGATCCAGTAAAGGAGTGGACGGAGGGTGTGAGCCAACACCTTTGGGGGAGGGAGGCACTAATGGGAAGCGCGTGGCAGGTGCTGGACTTTGGTGGTGGGAGATGCATCCGCCATCACAAGAATCGCACGCGTCCTCCCGGGCGCAAAAGTGATGGGGTGCGGCAATGCGAAGCTGGATTTCGGTGGTGGGAGACACGCCTGCCATCACAAGAATCGCATGAGTCCCGCCCAGGCACAGCGGTGACAGGGTGGGGCAGTGAGAAGCTGGACCAGGATGTGGGGCATGGAATTCCTACAAACTGGTGGTGGGCTGAGCTTAGGACAGACACAAG